>NC_000023.11:33039628-33189985 GCF_000001405.40 Homo sapiens | reverse complement strand
AGTTATCATTTTGTGAAAATATTGAATGAGTTTAGATTCCTAAAGGAAATTAGAAGTTGAGTAAAATGTACATTCACTTAGAAATTTCCTTGCAGTGAAAGATGCTGATTACTATAAATGAAGACAGGGAAATTTCATTCATTTAAAGAGATTACTACAGGTGACAAGTTTAAAATTAGCCTTAACTTAAAAGTTGGAAAATATTTTTTCCTGCTAGAGACTAATGCCAACTCCGTGATGTATGTAAGGTCATGTTATCAGGACCCAGCTTATTGCTGCTACCTCCTCTCCTACCCTTCTCCTCATCTCTTACTCCTAACCCTTTAGCCAAAGGCTCCTATGTGCGGGCCCCCAAACTACCATGCTTTCGTGTTGTCAGGGATAAGTCTTCCTGAAATTACCCTCCTTCTCCTTACCAATCACTTAATTAATTAAAGCCTGGTTTCCACTTCATCTCAGGAAAAATTATTTCCTAACCCCTCTCACCAATCTCCATTGACTCCGCCAATGGAGGTTAGGTATGGTTTTAAAGTGTTCTCATAGCATAAGTTCATCAAAATGCACAATATCTTTCACCATATTTTGTCAATTTATTTACTTTAATATGAGAATACAAATATCTTGGCATGTTTATCAGTGTTACACGGATACTGTTATTTTATCATCATGTTTCCCACCTCTCCCCCATACCTAGAGATGAGCATAAGGCTTAATATATAAAGTTATTTGGTTAATGCTTTTTTTGAATAAACAAATACATATCTAAGGGCATGTGAGCAACAGAGTTCATTGTAACACTATGCTTACAGTTAATCATCTTTTTGTTATTGTTCTAGCAGCAAGAAGGATATATATCTATATATATATACAAAGGGGAGAATGAGAATGATCTGAATTCAAATATAAAACATTACAAATGAATAAGGAATGTATTATTTTGCTAGCATTGCCATAACAAAATACCACAGTAGACTGGGTTTCTTAAACAGAAATTTATTTTCTCCACAGTAGTAAAGGCTAGGTATAATCAGGGCTGATTTCTTCTGAAGCCTCCCTCCTTAGTTTGCAGAGGCTGCCCTCTCCATCTGTCTTCTCATGGTCTTTCCTCTGTTCCTGTCTGTGTTCTAATCTCATCTTTTTATAAGGATACTAATCAGATTGGATTAGAGCTCACCTTAGTGACCTCATTTAACCTTAAATACCTCTTTAAAGACCCTATCTCCAACTACAGTCACATTCTGAGACAATGGGGGTTAGGACTTCAACAGACGAATTTGGGAAAGGGGCAATTTAGCCCATAACAAGGAGCCCTGTCAAATAAAACAGCTTTGAGAGCAAACAAAAATTGGCATCTGAGTGAAATATGTGGGAAGAGGAAAATAACTTGGGGCTTTGCTGTTCTCTTCCCACTCTTCCTGTGACCCGACTGGTTCCCTGGGAAATGGTCTTTGGATCCCCACTGCTGCTTAAGAGTCTGTTTTTTTTCCCCTGAGTTACTGAGGACTGCTGTCAGTATGATTGTAGTGCAAATTGATCCTTTGTGGGAAGTACAATAGCAACTGGTAACCACAAAGTACCAGAGGGCAAAAGAACTGTAGACGGGTAAATAAAAGGTGTCCGAAAAGAGCAAAGGGCTGGAAGAATGGGAAAATGGAGAAAGTAAGATATGCATTGAGAAGACTGATGATTTTTTAAAATAGTAGATGTTAGATAGATGATGAGAGAGACAGAGAGAGAGAGAGAGAGAGAGATGGTTAAAGGAAAACTGGTATTTGGTCTGCAGTTTTGCTGTTTCACCAGCTTAACACCCTACAGTGAATAACAAGGTCATAGATCATCACAACTGCAGAAAACCTGGAGAATATTTTCCATTTCCTCATTATATAGATGTGGAAAGTGAGACTCCAGTTCTCAGAAACAGTTAGATACAAAACTAAGACCCAGCTAGTTCTCAGCCAGTGATTTTCATATCATACCACACGCTATACAGTTGTAGGTTTAGAAAAAATCTATGGTATAAGAGGACCATGTAGTACCTTACAATGCTTCTGTAATACCCACAGCATCATAAAGAGTAATAAATTTAATTATTGCAACTTAATGATTCAACAATTGTATATGTATATACGTAATTATACATATATATGTGTATGTATAAAATCTACCAATACATATGTAATGCACATGTATAAAATCTACCAATTTTCTATATATGCAGAAAACAACAACAACAAACAGTATTAGAGAAAACCAGGGAATTAAGTCAAAATCATCACTCCCAGACCTGAAATAAATTTCAAAAGCTCTTCGTTACTGGTCCTTTATTTGTCCTTCCTACCTCATTTTTTGCCCCACTCATATACCACACATTGCAACTATGCTAAACTACCTTATTTTTTTTAGAAAAGGACATCCTCCTCATACCTACATTTGTACATTTCCTTTTTATTTGCTTTTTTCCTCTCCTGTTGCCACAGTAAATTCCTAAGTTTTCTCTTTAAGGATCTGTGGCCTGCTTTGGATACAGTTGAGTGTAGTGATATTGTGCCTTGCACATATCTCTAGAACAAAAGTTATTCTGTTATAGAAATTACTTATTTACTATCACTTAAGATCATTTATTACCATTTACTATCATACTCTAATTCACAGAAGGCAAAAAATAAACCCTTGAATGGCAAGAAATGTTTAGGCAATGTTGGGCAAATTGTTTATGAATAGTGATTGCAATTAACATAGAGCTTCATACTTACTGGATTAAATATTGATACTTTTGAGTCATATCTCTACTCTTAGCAATAATATTGGTGAATATTCTGTGCTGTAAGCAATGTAAATCATAAAAACATTCTAATGTGTATATGGGTATTGAATATTCAATGATATTAAATCAATGTTCAATTCATATAGATGATTCTTTTGGAAATTAAGAAATGGATCCCATTTTAATGAGTTTTCCCCAACATAAACTATACTTTGTTAAGTTC
The DNA here is from genome assembly GCF_000001405.40 of Homo sapiens. Lineage (NCBI taxonomy): Eukaryota > Metazoa > Chordata > Mammalia > Primates > Hominidae > Homo > Homo sapiens. The sequence continues at coordinate 33,186,998 of NC_000023.11, read as the reverse complement.
AACTTGACAATTTACAACGCTCACATAGCTTTCAGATGTATACTTAAGATATATGGAAATGAAAAGCAAAATGTTGTGAACAGGAGGTGACAAGATATTTTAAATTTAATCATCATATCTTTTATAATTAACCTTTTAAAACATTTAATTGGCATTATTGTTAGAAAACTTTAGCTCTGGAAGCTAAATCTTTAGAATTGTTGACTTGTAGACAAGTCAAATATCCAAAATAAAATTTCACCCATCATTAGCAGTAGATGTATCTAGGGTGAAATTACACGCTGGATTACTTCAATATTCTTATATTTACATTTTTATTTTTTTCAAAGTTTCTCCAGTGAGCATTTTATTGTGAAAATATTAATTATATTTTAAACTTATTTTTAGTTTAAGATGAGAAGATAGTCTTTGGGGTAGATAAATACTTTTAAATCTTTCATTTAGAAGTTCCTGGACTAATATTATCCAGGTCCCACTTCCTTAAAAAAACCTAATGTAACCTTTCCCATATAAGCATTGACTGCTATTTCTTGTTTCACAACATTTATGTGGTATGTCTATGCCTATGGTATTGAATATATATTTGAACTCTGCTGGCCTATTCCCATCTCTCACAGATCCCAAGACAATAGAGATCATGTCTTACCCATCTTTGTATCTCTTACAGAAAATAGATCTCAAATTCTACAGAAGATATTGAATTGAGAGTTTGAGATGTTAGAATAAGAAAAGGCAGTGAAAGGAGAGCCTACATGTAGCCTAGGCCAGATTTACAAAAGCAGTAGCTCAGAATGAGATAGGGATTCAACAAGGAGAACCAAATTATTTGGTAGTAAGTTGTTGCTAAATTGTGGGAGATGAGGAAAAGGGAATAATGATAGCAGACTCCCTGATATTAATCCCCCAAGAGTGCTCTATGGCACAGTAATTATTCATTATGGGCCCCCTCTGTTTGGCCCCACGCCCCCAAAAAAGACTTCTTTAGTCATAAAACTGAGGGGAATACTACATACTAAATCCCCTTAGAGTTTCTCAATGTAATGCATATGCAAAGATGCTCTGGAATCCTGCAGGAAAGACAGCTGTTTAACTTTTAACCTAGTTTCCCAAACTCATTTCACCATGGAACTTCTTTAACATGCAGTCAATAAATGCCCATTTATCTAATGTTTAATGAAGCATATGTTGGAATTCTTAAAATTGTTAATAGCTAATCACCGTGAGGAACTGGTGAGATGATGGTAACATTAACAGAAGTAGAGAAACCAGGAATAGGATCAAAATTGGAGGGGAAGGGGAAAAGGGCCTTTTGTTTTGAGACATCAACTTAGAATTGTTGATGGGCTATCCAGGTGGGTAGATAATAAAAGTTTTTGTGGGGGAGGACTAAAACTAAAGAGTTAGACTTAAGAGAGAAATACTTGAGAATCACTTACATGGAGATAGATGATAGTTGAAGTTAAAGAAGAGAACGAGATTTCTAACGGAGGGAATACACTATCAAGGAAAGGATTAGAGAACCCTGGGGGAGTGTGAATATTTGTGCCTCATTTAATTTTCAGAACCAGATCATGAGGAAAGAATACTTCCCATTTTAGAGATTAAAAAACAAAACCGAAGCACAGTGCTTAAGTAACTTTCTCAAGGCCATATAACTAATAAGTGGCAGATATGAGATTTTGAGCCCTACTCTAAAACTTGCTCCTCAATTTGAATGTTTACATATTTATGTAAATAATATATTTTACAATATTAAAAACGTTTTTGTAGAGATACAATAACCATATAATTTTACAGGATTGTCTTTTTTATTTACGTTTTTCTTTGGAGTATAATACATTTTTAATTATTGGCCTGAGAAGAAGATACAATAGATTATTTTTGGCAAATGGTGCACTCATTCATGAGAGACACTGTATTTTCTAAAGCAGGCTGATCTCTGCATAATACTGGCTCCCTGAAAATAAATCCTTGCTGGGCCGGGCGCGGTGGCTCACATCTGTAATCCCAGCACTTTGGGAGGCCGAGGTGGGAGCATCACGAGGTCAGGAGTTCGAGACCAGCCTGACCAACATGGTGAAACCCCATCTCTAGTAAAAATACAAAAATTAGCCGGGCGTGGTGGTGCATGCCTGTAATCCCAGCTACTCAGGAGGCTGAGGCAGGAGAATCGCTTGAACCCAGGAGGTGGAGGTTGCGGTGAGCCAAGATCGTGCCATGGCACTCCAGCCTGGGCGACAGAGCGAGACTCTGTCTCAAAAAAAAAAAAAAAAAAAAAGAAAGAAAAAATAAATCCTTGCAATTTATCTGCCATATTGAATTTGTTCTGGAATAATGGGGATAAAATCAAAATAGGAAATAAAGTATCAATTTTATTCCACTATTATTTTATTTATTATTTTCATCTTAGTCATATGGAATTATATTTATAGGAACATGTTAAAATGCATTTTCAAGATAATTATTGCACACAATTTAAACAATTGTTTTGAGTGACTTTTTGTAGAGGTAGAACAGTTCTGTAAAATTAAGGTTTGGCTTTGCTTTGTTTGACCTAGATTCCCTATTAATTTCAAAATAAATGTGCCTTATATTTCAAAATCGGATTTCGTATATGAAAGCTCATGTCAGTTCACAACAAAAAAAAATCATTAAAAAAGAATAGTGCGTTATTTTATTACTGTTTTGATAGCAATACCTGAGGATACCGTAAATGTGTGCATGTACTTTTGTTTACAAATAAAAAACAGTTATGAGAAGACAAAAAAATCTAATGTAGAATAATTTATTCCACTAAAACCCAGCTTTCCTCATGGAAATCATGCAACACCTAGTGAGATTATGCTAGCACATAGGGAAATTTCACAAATGCACATTCTTAGACATATTAACCTTCTGGATCAGCATTCAACAAAGGTAAAATAATGTACGCTATTGATATCAGACTCCTTAGCTCCCTATTCTGGCTCCCTTTTAACTATCAAAACACAGTAATCTGTGTTTTCCTTCTTTGTACATCAGTTATTGTACCTGCCACTCTTTATAAGCATTCACTTTTCTCTTGTTTTTAAGCACAGTGGTAGCAATGGCCATGACTTAGAGGCTTAATGAAATGAAGGACAGATTATAAACAAATTAAACCCACACTGCTTTCTTTATAGAAGCAGCTGCAGAGTGTTCTGAGGTTTTTTTTTTTCCTTGTTGAGTAAAGGAACTAATAAGGAAAATTTCATGGCTTCAAGGTCTAGAGATAAGAAATGAAAGTTGTAACAGGAGAGGAGCTGGGAAAAGCACAGAAATGTAGATTTCGCGGATCATGATGAAAGCCACAGGTGACTTGGTGACCACAGAAATGAGAACACAGGGTTGGGTGTCTAGGCAGGAAGTTGGGAGGCTGGTGGAGTCCTGGTTCAACTCTAAAGTCTCAGTTATCTCAGCACATGCTCTTGTGGTGCTGCTGAGATTTGGCTGATTGCCTACCCCAAACCTAAAAATAGCCGAGCCTCATTCTTTTGTAGTGGCAGCCAGAGGCGCAGCTGTGTGGGGACTGGCTATCTTTTTCCTTAGCTTTGACAAATAGCTGAGAGTTGGTGGGCTTGAGTGTGCACCTGTTGAGACAGAAAGTGCTGAGTTTAGTTGACAACACTGCTGAAGGTAATTTCACACTTTCATTCCAATTGATCACCGAAACTTAGAAAAATTTTCTCCTTTTCTAAATCCTTCTCCTTGCCCATGAATATATACATACATATATTTTTCTCGAACTGTTTGAGAGTGATTGTTACCAAAGGCAATTGTTTTTAAATCAGAATAACAAATCTCCTGTTTGAGTGGCTAACTCAAATTTTATTTTCTTATTTAATTTAGTAGAATTTAAAAGATTTAAAATAGTTTTGAAATTAGGAAATAATATTTTTATTCCCATAAGTCTAAAGGTACAATCTAGCCCATTACATCACTATAAAAAATCATCTCCATATTTATTAGATTACAGGATATTCCGCTTTAAACTAGAATTTGCGTTGCATACATTTTTGCAGAAAAACTCATTCTTAATTTTTTCTAAAACAGTAGATTGGATATGTGTTAAAGGTTCATGTTCTAGTACTTCTTTAAATGCTTATTGTCAGCTTTATAAAATCATTTTATCACAAAAAGTTAGTTTTCTGTAGGCTTATTTTCCTTGATAGGATTCCTTCTCTTACAAACTGGTTATATGAATTAAAATGTAAATGTTAGTGAATTGTCATATCTTGTAAATATACTAGGGTAGAACTGATATCTTTATGCAAATTAGAAAAATATTTTACAGTATCAGTTATGGAGTTTTTTTTCTACTCTTCCTTTTTCTTTGTTAATATTGGCATGTGATGAAATCACTACTTTATAAGTTTGCTACTTTGATTAAGACTCAGAAATCAGAGTGGCTGGGTGTGGTGGCTCATGCCTATAATGCCAGTACTTTGGGAGGCCAAGGAGAGAGAGGATCCCTTGAGCCCAGGAGTTCAAGACCACCCTGGACAACAGAGTGAGACCTCATCTCTACAAAAAAAAAATGAAAAGAAATGAGCCAGGCATAGTGACAACACGCCTATAGTCCCACCTACTCAGGAGGCTGAGGCAGGAGGATCACTGGAGCCTAGGAGGTCAAGGCTACAGTGAGTCATGATCTCACCATTGCATTCCAACTTGGGCAACAGAGCAAGATTATGTCTCAAAAGAAACAGATCAATCAGAGAAGTAACTTTAAATATTTTAATATAAAAAAAGGCAACATCTCTTAGCAAATAAAAATAGCGACGTCCTTCTCTTTCTGTAAATCTATCCAAGACATGAGTGCTGTTATCGATTCGGTTTAGGGTTTTGTTTTGTAATATTTTTTTCCCCTTTCACAGCAATACATTTTGGGGTATGGTTTGCTGACAATATTTTCCACAGTAATCAGTGGCTTAGCTGTAAATAGAGGATAAGTATTGCATCTGGGGAATACACATTAGAAACAATTGGTATTTCTGGTTCATATAAAGGTGGAAAAATACTTGGCCAGATGGGCACTTATTTATTTATTTTCCTGACCAGAAATAACAGGCAATGTGTGAGAAAGTGTGGAAAGCACTGGGTTGGCCGTCAAAAGCAGGATCTTACAAAGGTTGAAGGAAGCTAATCTGCTGAGAGGTTTTCTTTTTTTAATGACTTTCACATAGTATTTTTCAAAGCCTCTGTGCATTAACACTCACGCCAAAGGAAATGATTTGTTTTTTCAAGCACTTGGTCAGTGCAATAGCTCCGCAGCTAATAATGACATATGGCAAATTTTGAGTACTTACTTTGTGCTACGTACTGTAATAAGAGCTTTGTGTATATTATGTGAGTAAATACTTAGGACAAGCCTGTGAGAGAGCTATTATTGTTCCCATTTTACAGATGAAGAATTCTGAGTTAGAATTAGACTTTGAAAGTCAAACTTTCTCCTTCCCTATCCCTTGCTGTTATCCACCACATCATGCTACCTCCCTGAGCTCAGTGATTACCTACAATGAGGTTTACCAGCTTGTCCTATAGTTACCTGTGTTATAACTGCCATGTTCCTGAAATAAATTAACTATAAAATGGTGCCCATCGACTGATATAGAGACCAGTCATTTTTTTTTTATAGTTTTATCTGGCCTGGGGTTATCAAGATACTAGGTTTAATAGAACTTACTTCCAGATTTAAATGTCTTTGTTCATTCATGAAAATCAATTGATTGGATCCAATGATTTTAGATCTAGACAACTGTCAGTCATGTAATCTAACTAACTCATTGTTTAAAGAGGCAACTGAGGTGCTGAAACTTTCAATAATTGGATTAATTTTATCTTTAGTCAGTTATATCATTAGAACCTAGGTCTCTATTTCTTAATCTCAACCAAAATATACATACATACATATATGTGTGTATGTAAGCACCATTTCTGCTAATTTACAAAAACCTAGCAAACCAGTTTAAGAAAAAAAAAAGTTTCCTTTGCTCATGTAACGAAAAAGTGAAGAGGTATTACTTACTTCAGATACAGTTAGTTTTGGGATCTCAAGTGATGTCACCTAGCCCAGTACCTCTCTCACCCTTTCTCCACTGTGTTTTCAAAGGCTCTTAAAAAAAAAAAAAAAAAAAGCTCTTAGACATTATCTCTCGATATGGGACCCATTATTAGTCTTAGACTTATATCATTGTACCTCAATTCCAATAGAAAATGAAAACACCATTCTCTCCAACAGAAGACCTAGGATTACTTGTAATTGACTCTGAAGAAATCACCTACACATTCCTGAATCAATCAACCTAGTTCAGGAGTACAGTGTTCTGATTGGGCAGGTTCCATCAGACACCCACTCCTGGAACCAGAGCCAGGTAAGTTCAACCCAAAACTGTCAGAGAGGAGCAGGGGTGGGTAGGCCACAACGAACAGAGATACAACAAGACAAACAGTGAAGAAGAAGATGAAATGGGTAGCAGGCATAATAAGATTATAAAGTCTTGTAGGTCCCAAACTCTGTGTGTATGTGTGTGCATGTGTGTGTGCGCGTGTGTGTGAGTAACCCTCAAAAGTATACAAGTATTGTGCTTCCTGTAATGACAGACACCCTTCTGTTGATAATAATGATTCATGTAGCCCAAGAATATAAGAAAGTATTCTGTTTGTAAAATAAATATTTAGAATGGGAATAAATTTGTATAAACAGAAGCATGTTTGATTTTCTTTAAAAAGTGCGTGATAAATATGATGATCCCAGGAGGTTTGTTCGTTATTTAAATGTTTAAACATGTGATATGTCTCTTTCAGAATAATAAATAGTAGGGAATAGCAATATAGCACTTTTCGGCCGGGCTCAGTGGCTCACGCCTGTAATCCCAGCACTTTGGGAGGCCAAGGTGGGCAGATCACTTCAGATCAGGAGTTTGAGACCAGCCTGACCAACATGGTGAAACCCCATCTCTACTAAAAATACAAAATTAGCCAGGCGTGGTGGTGCACACCTGTAATCCCAGCTACTCAGGAAGCTGAGGCAGGAGAATTGCTTGAACCCTGGAGACGGAGGTTGAGGTGAGATCGTGCCATTGCCCTCCAGCCTGGGCGACAAGAGCGAAACTCCATCTCAGAGGAAAAAAAAAAAAAAAGCACTTTTTAAAAATCATAATGGATTTCTAAGATTGTAATAGTTTTGGTATGCTGATTGGCTTTATTTTTGGCTACATTTATTTTAGAATCTCTGCATTATCAATGAACTTTCATTCAATTTCTTTTCTTTCTTTTTTTTTTTTTGAGACGGAGTCTCGCTCTGTCACCCAGGCTAGAGTGCAGTGGCGCGATCTCGGCTCACTGCAAGCTCCGCCTCCCAGGTTCACGCCATTCTCCTGCCTCAGGCTCCCGAGTAGCTGGGACTACAGGCGCCCGCCACCACGCCCGGCTAATTTTTTTGTATTTTTAGTAGAAACGGGGTTTCACTGCGTTAGCCAGGATGGTCTCGATCTCCTGACCTCGTGATCCGCCCGCCTCGGCCTCCCAAAGTGCTGAGATTACAGTGGTGAGCCATCGCACCCGGCCCATTCAATTTCTAAATTAGGCATAAAAACAAAATTATTTCGTAACATTTCTACAATGACCTCCTTTTTCTGTTAAGTTTCTAATTCTGAAGACCCAAATTCAATTTTATATTTCAGTATCTCACACTGATTATTCTGATAGTTACATTAAATCCCTCGTTTAGAAACTGATGCAAGTTACTGTTTTCAAATGTTCATGCTTTGAAAGTACATGTTTGTCATCTGATTTCAAATCTGCATGGTTCCATGCTGATTATTTTAGATAACTTCAGGCTGTACTCCAATTTTTTTCTGAGAGATCTCTGAAGTAAGCTTTTCTTACTCTGTTACAATTTTAATGAGATACATTCTATGTATTAGAGTGTGAAATATCTCTTTAGGACAAAATTTAATCATAGTCAGTGCTCCTTATTTAAAGGCTAAAGGCATCATCAATTTGGCAAAAAATAAACAACACTATCTGGCTGCCTGAGGGTCCAGTGACTGACCTTGAGTTGAAATCCCAGCTGCCTGCATCATGTGACCATCAACATTCTGTTTTTATCCCAGTGGTAATAAATACCTTATACTCAAAAAGACAAGAGCAACTCAGAAGAGAGATTTGGTACTTTTCAAAGAAACGCAGCAGTAAAAGTTGCATGATGCTTTTCATTTCAAAGCAGGCAAACAGAGCTTTATTATGGCAGAGCAGTCCAATTTAATTTTCACTTGTGTGATGAAACTATTCCACACGTTTGCATTAATTTATGAGCCTTTGTCTGGTTTTAATGTATTTAATAATACATTTATACACTCTTTGTTTTAAAAATAATGATATGTTTTGACAATGCACTTTTTCAGGAAAATCTGAGGTGTAACAAAAAGTGATAATGGTAAGATAGTTCCCATTTTGAGTATTAAAAAATGAGTGCATCAGGTAGGATTGGGTTTGGCTGCGTGTATCAGAAATCCAGAAATAGAAGTGTGTTAAGTAAGAGAGATTTGTTGCCTTGCCACATGAGTGAGCTCCAGCTGGAAGCAGTACATTGCCGGTAGAGCAGGGCCATGGTGGTCAAGGACCCAGGAACCTTCCATCTTTCTGTGCAACTTTCGGTCTTCGATGTAACATCATTGTCTAAAATGGCTGCTGGACCTCCAGCCTCTTTCCAGGTGTCAGGAAGGACTCCAGCAGAGTGAAAGGGTTTGTCCAATTTAAGAAGCGCCCTTTACACAGCTTTCCTCCAAATCCCACTGGATATTTCTGCTTACTTTCCCTTGCAGTGGATTATGTCAAAATAGTCTAATTCCTTCTTTTATAACAATTGGAGTTGAAAGCTTTGTTTCAATCTCTAGTGACAATACTTTAGATTCTGATTCCCATTCTCTGAGGGCATACATCCGTGTTACTAGGTTGTTACTAAATATGCATGAATCTTAACTCAAGTTTTTTAAAATTCCAGTTTGGAACCCTTGGAGAAATCAATACATCTGTTCGTATTTTGCCCAATAGTCTCTATGAGTGCTTTATCTAAAAATCATAAATTCAGATACATTTTTAATATCATGAGACTAAAGAAAATATTTCCCGTTGTCAACAGATATCAAGTTTCAGTTATAAAAAATGAGTAGGTTCTGGATATCTGTTGCACAACAGTGTGCCTGTAGTTAACAATACCGTATTGTATACTTAAACATTTGTTAAGAGAGTAGATCTTATGTTGTCTTCTTATTATAATAAAATAAAATAAGGTCGGGCGCGGTGGCTCACGCCTGTAATCCCAGGACTTTGGGAGTCTGAGGCGGGTGGATCATTTGAGGCCAGGAGTTCGAGACCAACCTGGCCAACATGGTGAAACCCCGTCTCTACTAAAAATACAAAAAATTAGTCGGGCATGGTGGTGCGCACCTGTAATCCCAGCTACTAGGGAGGCTGAGGCAGGACAACCACTTGAACCAGGGAGGCGGCAGTTGCAGTGAGCCGAGATTGCACCACTGCACTCCAGCCTGAGTGACAGAGTGAGACCCTGTCTCAAAAAAATAAATAAAACAAAATAAAATAAAATTTCCGTTTGTATACTGTCTTTAAGACCCAAATCAATTCTCTCTGACTCTAGTGGGCACTGATATGTTCTACTGAAGTCCCCATCACCAGGTAGCACACCCATCCCCTAGCTGCTGGGAGTGCTTGTTGCCCACAGCTGCTTCCTTCTCCAGAGACTTGTTCTTACCCTGAAGAAAGCCAGGAGCCTGAAAGGCCATATGTGCCCCACCTCAGGTCAGTTTGCAACCAACGACTGAAAGTACAAGAGTCCAACCCATTTGCCACAAGGTGAGATCAGCTCTGGGATGCAATTTGCCCTCCAGAGCTCCCTGTGGGATCATGTGGAAATTGGTCTCTAGGTGAGATCGCATTCTTGTTTTGTTTTCCCCAAGCCCTAAACTGTCCCCTTCACACAGTTTCTCTTTTGAGCACTTTCTCTTTTTATTTTATTTTTTGAGACACAGTTTTGCTCTTGTAGCCCAGGCCGCAGTGCAATGGCATGATCTCGGCTCACTGCAACCTCCGCCTGCTGGATTCAAGCAATTGTCCTGCCTCAGCCTCCCGAGTAGCTGGGATTACAAGTGGAGCGCCACCATGACCGGCTAATTTTTGTATTTTTAGTAGAGATGGGGTTTCACCATGTTGGCAAGGCTGGTCTTGAACTCCTGACGTCAAATGATCCACCCGCCTTGGCTTCCCAAAGTGCTGGGATTACAGGCGTGAGCCACTGCGCCTGGCCTATTCTAATTTTCATCCCTTCACTCACAAATGCTATGTTCCATCAACAGCTTGAGTGTGCACATGAGCGCACACACACACACACACACACACACTTCTGTGCTTGCTTTTTCGTGGCTGCAAACCTGCTCTCTTGTGAATCCCTGAATCCACGTATGAAGCCGAAGCTTTTATTTCATTTTATTTTTTAGTTGACAATATAATTATACGTATACCTGGTTTTTTTTTTTTTTACATTAACTCTTCTCCTTATTTCAGCTGAGTTTCTATTTATGCACAATATTTATTGTTCCGACTCAGGGGAAGTTTCAAGACACAAACCTTTTGACAGCCTAAATTAGTTCAGGTCTAATTCAGAAACAGAAGTTTCCAGATTAGAAAACCTGAAGCTAAAGAAGTGCTTGAAGAGGAACAGGGATTCATGCAAAACTAGACTAGGTAACAGAGTTACTCATACACAAGAATCTTGGCAAGGGTTGAAGTGGGCATGTGGAAGGGGCTGGCTTGAAAATCAGGAGGGTCAGAGAAAGAGCTGTTATTGTTACCCTTTGTTCCTCCTCAGATGTCTATGCGAAAGGCTCTCTGAGATGAGAGCACGATATAGCTCATGCCGGTTCAGCCACTTAATCTTTTTTGATTTGACTGCACCCAGGTTTCTTTAAATCTGAGCTTTAGTTTCCTTAACTGTAAAATAATGGAAAAATTCCTGGCCCCTCCTCACCTGGTTGCTATGAAGATTAAATGAGATAATATATGGAAAAGTCTTAGCATATAATAAGGTCTGGAACATGATATACATTTAATAAAATAATACATTTTACTTATTATTATCTTATACCTTTCATATGAATGTTAACTGCAAAACAGCATAGCCGGTATTTGCTCCTTCACAATAGAAGGTAATATGCTTCCCTGTTTTACTAATCAGAAAACTGGCCTCGAAGAGGTTAAATTCCTTTCTTAGAACTATTAAGAGGCTAAGCCACACTTCAAACTCAGGTGTGTCTGACTCTGTAGTCAATGTTCTTTTCACTTCATGGTGCTTTTTTCCTGTAAAGTGAGTATAATATTTCCTAAATCATAATAAAGCTTTGTGCATTGGATGACATAAATATAAAGGGCATAGTGTATAATTGGTACTCAATAAATTATTCCTTTTCCTCCTTCCCTAGGCAAGAACTAATTTTCTTTCTTTGTTTAGCCCCTGTATTACCAGCCAAGTGCCTTGGGCATAATATACGTAAATAGGCCTAGTATGTTGAATTTTAGGCAGCCATCTTGATTTTTGTAACAAATCTAGTTCTCTTTAAACTATTGCTTAGCTCTTCCAACAATAACAGGCCTTGTAGTTATCCCACATGGGGTGATTTCAAAGCCACAGAGGGAAGATTGTTCTTAAGTTACTCCTGCATGCAGTGTCAAGCTCTCACAACTTTCACAAGAAGTTAAAAACTACAATTTTATGTCAGTCTCTCCTCCAGTAATCAGATAGCTTCTTTGATTGTTCTGATAACCCAAGAGGGAATCCTTCTGATACAGAAGGTGGCTATATCTCATATATTTTGCAACTCCTCCCAAAACATAGATCGATCATCTCAAAGAACTACATGGGAAACTTGATAGCCTTTTGGAGGCTGAGAAAGAAAGCTAAGCCAACCTTGAAGGAAGTCAACAAATTGTCAATGGCATTTTGAAAAACTGCATTGCAATAGACATCTACACTCATACGTTATTTAGCTCCCTTAGGGATATGATTACTCTTGGGGTCCACAAGATTCGATGCATGATCATTTGAGAATATTTGTGGCTACTATTATTTTTTAAACAGATCAACAGGCATGACAGAATTTCATGCATGAATTTCATGATAAGGCATTCTCAATTTTATGTTTTCACTTAAGTGATTATCTCTAATGTTCATCTATTTCCTTCTTATTTCAATCCTACCCTAGTTTCAACCCATCCTTTTTTATTTTTTTCTTGTTTGAAGTTTACCCTAATTTCATGACTGAGCTTCTCTAAATTCCTTAATTAAGTCCTCCTTGTCCATCCCAGTACAAGGTGTAATCACTTTCCCCTATATCTGGATTGTTCATCTGGTTGTTATGTATTGCATTAAGTTAATATATGCAAATATAAGCCTTGTAAATACAGAGACCAATGCAGTCCAATTTTGGGTAGATGCCACATTCAAAACAACAATAACAAAAATTAATTAAGTAGTCACACACTTAAATAACTCAAAAGTGTTAAAACAGATATGAAGAAATCCACAGCAACATTTATTATAAAATTACTCTTTCTCTTCCTTGGTTTTGCGGCTTCTCGAGTTCATAGGAGACTTTCAGTTTCCAGTGACCTGGAAACTCACCATTCCTCATCACCATCCTTTACTGTAGTAACTTCCTTTTACCTGACCACCCTGCATAGTCACAGAAGATGCACTCCTGACAAGTGATCCTCAAAACAGGTAGTAATCTCTTTGAGAAGTGTGAAATGTCTTTTGTTCTCCTTGTCGTTCCCATGATTGTCAGCTGTGAGGACCCTTGTCATTCTACCCTCAATCCCAATTCTGCAGGGTCTGGGGATTCTGGGGATTCTTTTTTTTTTTTTTTTTTTTGTAGTTACCAATCTTATATAGATACAATAATTTTTATGTGTATTGATGTTTATTGACAACCAGATTTTAAGGTCCTTAGAAATTGGAGTTAATTATTATTTATCATCCAAGCTCCTTTCCCTCTGCCCTCTTATTTTCCAACACAGTGTCTTGAATTTTATCACTTTATCGTTTAGTTATTAAGGGTGATTTGGTGAAATGTAGAACAGACTATATGAATTACCTCAGCTTATGGTATTATATGACATAATAACAGAAACATAAATAGACTATCATAAATCTTAACTTTTTCTTTATTCTTTGTAATATTTTATTAGTCTTATCCATCTTGCTTGGATTGCCAAGTTCTTCTGAGAATTCCAGTAATAATGTTATCATTCTATCGAGCTTATTATTCCCAACTGATCTTCTATTAAGCCAGTATGAATTAGCTACTGTTTATGAGATTAGATTATGCACTTTAATCTCTAGAAGAAGCAAAAGTAATGAATACACTGAATCTGCCACTGAGAAGACACTTTAAACTGAAATGTTTCATTATTTTTCTAATTCCTCTCTCTTTTGAATCTGAGTATGTTTTTGGGGTACGATACAGTGTAAAGGTTTTTGTACATCAAGTCATAGACTTGGAAATAAAACACAAACAACTACCCTTTTGATGAAAATACATAAACATCATAGCCATTTAGCCAACTTTTAAATTTAAAACAATAAATTCATGATTTTAGTTGGAGGGTAAACATGCATCTTTTTAAAAATCAAATGTAAACACAGAATCTATACTCATGATGTACACACATGGACATAAAATATTGCATATATTTTGGGAGATTCAAAGACCACTGGACTCCAAGTTAAGGATATTTTTCTCTAAATAAACTTAGTGATTGAATTATAGAAAACCACAAACTAAGTTATTGACTGAAGTATAGGAAAAGTATAGTGTATTAAAATAAAGTTTTGGACTAATTAACATGATTTTACTAATAGTGACAAGAGGATTTACCAAGTTCTGATTTTTTCTAATGTAAAAAAAATTTGTTAAGTAAGATCTTTCAATTAGTAATTTCTGAAACCCCCTCTAAGTAAATTAAATTTTTATATCCTTGAAGAAGGATGTTGATCAGTCTCACCTTATGGCAAGTATCTCAATATATGTGATCTGTCACCTAGTCTTTTCTCTATTTTATTATTTCTGTGTTTGTTGAGAAAAAAATTATTTGTATACAAGTGCATGTACTATTTAATGTCATGTAATTAAATCCCTTTGATAGAAACAGTTAATGTTAGACTAATAATGTTTTTAGCTACTGGTGAAATACTTCCTCCTAATGCGTTAAATGCAGGATAAGATCTTACTTGATACTACCACGGGAGTGTAATCTCTCCCAATAGTGTTTGTTTCATCGAAGTTGGCTCATTTAGGTAGTTTGAGTGGCCAGAGTTGTATAAGTATGTTTGGCAGTGGTGGATGGGGAATGGACAGCACCAAACCATTCTTTCTCTCTGTTTCGATTTTTCTCCTTTGTCTATTGCTAGTTGCTTATTCCTGAGATATCCTTCACCTCTCTCAAGAGGCTTGGTCACTTAACTTCATTCCAACTCTACACCTCCATTGGTGGAAATGGAAAGATGGATGAAATTTTAGCCCCTGTTTATGGCCAGCATCCGACTAGTCCTTCTTTCAAAAATGAGTAAATAAAAACTTATTATGGTATCTTTGAAAAGTTGCCTGTCTATGCTCTAGGCTTTAACTCAATAAATTATTTTAATGGAAACTGTGAATTCAAAGGAAATAAAAGTATGGCGGGGAATTATGCAGAAAATACTGTAATATATGTTGATAAAATTTTCCCAAGTTACCACACCTCCAGTACCTAGAACATAGCCAGCCATATAATAGACACTCAATAAAGGTTTGTTGAATACATTTGTTTAATATTCCTTTTTACTCTTTTCCTCCCCTCTTCTTTCCCATGCATTTCTAGTTACTCACATTTATAATAATATATTCAGTACATTTTTTGTTTGCGTCAAGATGCATCATGAGGGAATCACCTGAAATTTCAAGTCAGGATGACCTGGTTAGAACATCAGTTCCAAAACTGAATATTTAGAGATCCTTTTCCTATCTATAAAATTGGATCACAAAATATCTCTCAAAGGGTACAAAGCACAGCACCAACCATATATTAATAATAAGGCACTGTTACATAAATGTCAGTTCATTTTCTCATCACCTTCTTAACCATTTTGCTCTCTCTTCTGTTTCAAGACAGTAAAATCCAAATCTCTGTCAGTAAAAGTATATCTGACCACTCTAATTTAATAAAATGCAGCAATAAATTGCATGACTCATTTCTCAATTATTTTGCATGACTTACTAAAAGTATAAGACAGGGTACCTGAGGGATCTGTGAGGGAAAGGAAGCAAAAATCATATACATAGAAGTGGTTGGTTTCAAGTGATTAAGAATAACCTACGAGTAGGTGAAAAAAAGAATCAGGACAATACAATAGACTGCAACCAAAGGTGGAAAAAACTGTAAAAGAAATAGCTTTAGAGGTCTCAAATCTGCTTTCAGAATGCTAGGATCTAGTTTTCGTAAATTAGAGTTCTCAGTAAATGTAGGACAAGTCCCAGCTGTACTACTGTAGCATTAACATTAAAACTAAGCCATATCTTGAATCTCCTTTTCTCTTAAACCCCCAGAGGTTTCAAACCAGAGAGGTGGTCAAAATAGATTCCCCTACTACTTCCCCTTTCTCAATAAGAAGCTCTCATCTGTTGAATTTCCATTTTGAGGCATTTAGACAGCTGAGAGAGAGAGAGAGAGTTTAAAGGAGTGTTCAATCCATCTGGTCTGTTTTTTCCCCAAATTGCGGAAGTTATCATTTCAGTAACATTATATGTTGTTAAGCTTATACAATAAGATCTGATTTTAAAACTTACCACATAACCACAGCAACAAATATTGTGTTATATTGTCAGAAGGATTGACACATAGATCAATTGAACAGAATAAAGAGTCTAGAAACATACCCACACAAATATGCCCAACATATTTTTGACAAAGTTTCAAAATAAATTCAGTGGAGGAAGAGTAGTGTTTTCAACAAATGGTGCTGGATCAATGGGACATCCACGGACAAACAAAATGTACATAGACCTAGACCTCATACCTACTACAGAAATTCACAGATTAGAGTGAGATTATTTTTCTCTTTCTTACAGAAATCACATCCATATTGTCTACTTCTGTGAAGTTCAGTATGGTAGCCACTTGCCATCTATGGCCATTGGAATGTAGCTAGCATGAATTGAGAGGTACTATAAATGTAAAATACACACTGGACTTTGAAGACTTAGTGTAAAAATAATATGAAAGATCTCAATAATAATTTTATATGCGTTGCATCTTGAAATGATAGTATTTGGGATCTGTTTGGTTAAGTAAAATACAGTATGGATGTTAGTTTTACCCATTTCTCATTATTTGTAATGTGGGTATCAGACAAATTAAAATTACCTATGTGGCTTGGATCATAGTTCTATTGCTCATAGCTAGCATAATCTATAATTTCCAGTTTCAGTTTCTTTATATCTGAATGAGAAATAAAAGATATTTGTGAAGCAATCTGCACATAGAACTAAAGATTTTTATTATTTTTAATAAAATTTTACATTTGTCTGTCCAAGCATTTGAATCATTTTGCAACCATATTTATTGATTATTTCTACAACATTCAGTTTAGATTTTGCATAAATAAAAACTTTTGTAAGTGTATGACTTAATAAATATTAAGCAGGATCTAGTCTAGTTACTTGGGAACGGCAAAGCCCTCGTCTTCATGGAGCTTACATTTTTCAGTTGATAATCTTTATGTAACTCTAGAAATAATTATAACTGGCTTAACTAAGTTAGCTTTTGGGTACATACTCAACTTGTGAGAGCGGAACCTCATGGGTCTACCAATGAGTTGAGTATTACCTAAAAGTATCCATCTTGCCCTGGGCATTAGCCAATGTACTTTTCAGAGGAAATGCAGGGTGTTTGTTAATCTGGCAAATTACCTGAGTAGGCATTGGTTACATGGAAGTCTATTCAGAGATTTTCCTCTGTACTACGTTGTATTGACTGATTGCTTTTCTGACTTTCTCCCTAGATTCTGAATTCATCAAGAGTTCTAGGAGGGGGGCTAGCGATTAAAAAAAAGGACACATTAGGTACAATATACCCTACTCAGGTGACAGGTGCACTAAAATCTCAGAATTCACCACTATAGAACTCATTTGTGTAACAAAAAACCACTTCCACCCCTAAAGCTATTAAAATTAAAAAGGAAATACAAATAAAAATAATTTTAAAAGTTTTTGCTGCGTGTTAGCACCTATGTCAGTAATTGGTAAATAATAAGTGTAAATAAACCAACTGATGGATGAAATATTTTGAGAGAACATTAATTCAAAATTTAAACCAGTCAATGTCACATTCAAGCCAGATTGCCCAACCTAGTATATCATGACCATTGACTTCAATCTTTAATATGGATTGTCTAAGTCATTGGCTGGAAGGGAGCATCTGTCTTTGTTTTGTCCTTTGAAGCAAACACTTGAAATCAGTTTAGACTCTCATCTAGACATTTTTGTTGTTTAGAAATATATTTAATGGAATCTTTAGGCTAGATTCAGAAGAGAAGTAAGCTGTCATTACCCAAGGATTGTTAACCTTATCAATAAATTCGTAGCCCTAGGGCATAAAGATCATTTGTATTGTTTCAGAGGCCTTCGTGTCTAGTAAATTTTCTAGCTATTGATTTTTGCAAATGTACAAAATTAACAATTGTGAGAGAGCTTTTAACAAGCTTGATTTCAGTTGAAATAATATGAACAGTAATTGTTTTTTTTCTGTTCATTGGGTAATAAAAGCATGTATGTAATTGGGAGGCCCCAATACTGTTGAAGGTAAATCTGATGAGAAACAAATATTCAAAGACTTTGTGCATGCAAGAGAATCAATAGAGGCAAAAAAAAAAACCTATCTTCTAGAGAGTTGACAGGAATCTATCTTATTTGGAAATTCAAAAGGTATTCATGCATTTCTGTGTTCTGTGCCAGTTACATTATTTATATAATAAATGCTTTTCCATATTGCTTTTTATTTGAAATTCTCAATCCTATAACTAATTATTTTACTTAGGGAATATAACTGTATCCTTTACGCCTTCTCTTTGATTTTGTCACCATGATCATCAAAAGTTTCTCCCCATCAATAATCCAGGTAGACTCCCAGCCACACTCAAGGCATCATCAATGATCTCAGAGTACTACATTGGATTAATTACTAATTTTTCCTCATTGACTTCTGTTTTCCACAATTCAATATTTTTCTAATTTTCATTTATCTGCTTGCTTCTTCCTAAAGAAGGCTCATGTAAGTTTGTATATGTGACACCAATATCTCTTTAATATGTTTAATTTCCTTGACGTTTCTAAATAGGGTTAATTTAAATTTACCTTAAGACCCAAATTATCTGAATGCAAGTTTCCAAAAAAAAAAGCTATATATCAGGAATTTTCTAGGATTCAATTTCAAAAACAACTTTCAGAGTATGGCTAATAATTCAAAGGTCAACAAAACACCTGAGCCCACTACAATCCCAGTACCATACAGGTCAAAATCAAGATTTGGCAGGATTGTAGGATCCCAACGTTCTTTCTGATGTTAAAAAATATATAGTAAATAAAGTTATTTTTTGTTCAACAGTATTTTGGAAGTAGTAATTGCCACATTGTATATATGTTTGCCATTAGCCATAAACGTGATTTTACCAATTTATTTTCACTACATTGTGCAGAATTCCGGAAACTTAGATAAAATATTTTAACACCTAAATATATACACACACAAACACACACACACATGCACACACGCTACTCTTCCATGCCCCCAATCTTTCTCTTTATCTCAGAGTTCAAGTGTAGCCATGATTTGACATTACAAAATAGAAAGAGTACTGTTGGTTTACCTGTCAAATTACTTTTATCAAGCCATTAATGGTGCTTACTGTGTGCCAGACATTTTTTCTAAGCACTTTATAAATATTAACTCATTTAATCTTTATAAAGCCTTTAAATGATATATGATAATATTCTCTCTTTACACAAAAGGAATTTAAGACACTGAATGGTTAATGAGCATGCTGAAGGCCACACCATTCATAAGTGGTAAATGGGAAGTGACTCTGGGCCATTTTGTTCCCAAGTCCAAGCTTTTAAATATTTTCCTCTGCTCTTACTAGACATGATATTGCTGAGAAAAGTTTTGGTCCCCTGTGCTTGAATATAAGTATAATAATTAAGTCATCTTCTTTTCCATGCTCAAATTTTACTCTCAAAATCATTTTTCTGTGCCACACACATTTTAACAGTTTTTCATTATATACTTGTTCTTCTGAGTAGAAATTGACTCTAAAATACAGACAAAAAGAAATTATATTTAAGATAAAGTAAAAAAAAATTCTGGGTGAAGGATACATTAGAATATGTGATTCAATTTTTACAACTTTCATATAAGTCTAATTTCTTTCAAATTATAAAGTTAAAAATCTTTCAAATAATTACTAGTCGAATTGAAGAATATGAATTGAAGCAGTACCATTTAGTGCATAAATTCAAGGACACAATTTTCAAGTTATATTTTCTATGAACAGTCCTCCCTGAAGTTGTGCAAGGAGAAAGACCTAAATCGAAGTTAGTTTACCTACATTAAAATGCATAAAATAATAATAGAAAAATAAACTGAAGCAAGGACAATAATATGGATTACTCTCCAGCTTTCATAACTGTGTTTTTAAATGTTCTTCAGCAGAAATTATTCAAGCGTTGTTTCCTACTACAGAAAGAATTCTCAGGACTTCTCAGAAATACGTCAGTTTTTAATAATACCAATACCTGATAGGAGAGCAGGGACAATTTCAGTGTCATTCATAGATGTTGTCCCAGAACCAAGACAGCATCTGCTCCATAGTAGGTACTTAATTTGTGGAATGGATAAGCAAATCAGTGATACATATCGATGGTGCTTTTTCTACTTTAAACCACTTTTAAATGTGTTAATATCCCATTAATAGCCTTCTAGATTTATTTGAGTAGAAATTAATTCTTTTATTTGATAGACTAGTAAAAGGCAGCCTAGACAGTTTAAATTGCTCATTCAGGTTCACTCAATGAATACACACTGAGGAAAAAAAATATATATATATATATGTATGTATGTATATTCAGAAATAAAGCCCAGCCATGACTTTTTGTTCAAGGTTCTTTGTACTATATTCCATTCTTTGAACTGAAAAGAGGAGAAATTATAGAAGAAGCAATGTTTTAAAAAATAGACATAAATGCATAAATCAGGTAACACACTTTTTTGGATACATACCCCACAATACCTGAAAAAGTAGTAAGCAAAGTCACTGATATTTAATAGAGGAATGATCTGAAAACTTTACAAATCAAAATAACTTTGCGCTTTCAATTTTTAGAAATTAAGTATTTCTCCTTACTGAATTCATCCGTATGTAGAAAATTATGCTGTATTATTTCACCATAAGTTTTAATTTAGGAGTATGGGTTATTATTTGGAAAGGGAAATGTTTCTCAAATTTACTTCCATGTTTTAAAGAATAATCCTGTTAATCTCTTTCTCACATCTTCTCATATATCTTATTTCACTTTTAATTTCCTGTAAGCTTATCATTCCTGTTAAATTACTCCTTGCCTTTTCTCAGCGATGATTGATAATGATATTGTTGAGCTGTGTCTCTTTCTAACACCTAGACTACTATTCAAACTATATCAATCACTCCATTATATTTTTAAAACCTAGAATATACTACTGAGATCTCTCTTGACCTGGTATTCCTGTATCCTGCCATCTCCGATTTCCCACACTGAGCACCTTTCCTTCCTTCAGCATCCTTTCCAATCAGTTCAGAAAGCTGCCCTTAATCTGCTATTCTGTTGCCAAAACAACATCATTAATCACTTTCAGTTACCTTCTTTGCTTCCTATACATCAAAACTTGAGCGCTTCCTTTACCCTCAGTTACTGCTCCACTAGAGCTTTCTTGTTTTAACGCCCCATCTTCTTGTCCTGTGTGTTTTGGTTTTCTTCCTCTTCTTACTTGATGCCCTTGTTTTCTTTTTGTGCTATTATTACCTTCATTTTATTTTCTGTGCATGAGCATTGCAAATTACAAAATCATCTCTTTCCCCCTTTGTTTACTACTTATTTGGTTCCGGTACTTCTTTTATTCTGTTTGTATAAATATGTACTGAAAGCAACTGCGGAAAAAACACCTAGATGAATTGTGATCCTATGTCGTCCCTTAGCTGAGAAACATTTCATTCCTGAGCTGTATTATTTGTCTTTTCTCTGAATACATTTTTTTTTCATACTGGCTATTCTCCTGTATATTCTAAACACACCTTTGTGTAATTTAGGTGAAATTGTTGGAATTATAAATTGTTTAGTTAGTAGTTGTGAATCATGCTTACTACAGACATGTATTATCAAAAATTTCACAAGAAGGATAGCGTGATACTCAGGCACTCCCCACATTTCCTCAAGCCACCAAAGAGTTTTTTGATGGATGTTCTTGTTTATTGGATGCTCTAAAACTAGACAGACAGTAAAGATTATCTTTTCCTGCTGCTGAAGTTTAAGTCATTTTTCCCCTAACTTTTATTCACACTTCCAATTATGAACTTCTAACACATAAAGAAAATTGAGATTTTTGTCATGCAATGCTGAAACCCAAACTGACATGTAGGAGGAAGGAGCAGCAGTTCTGTGGGTTTGTCAGGATGCTAAGGACATGTTGTTTTTCAAATTCGTTATTAGAGTCAGTGAGTTTATTAGGCTGAGGTAGAAAACTGTATGCTATTAGTCAAATTTAAACTAAATTCCTAAACTCAAGTCCCTTATAGCTCAAAATCTGTAGATTCAAGTAAACACTTCTAGAAATGTCCTAATATCACATTGAAGGAGATGTTCAATATGATTTTAATTTAGCTGTCTAAGTCTGTATGCAAAAAAAAAAAAAAAGAAAGAAAGTAAGTAAAGCAAAGCAAATAATAACCTCAAGTGCCAACTCTAATTAATTGGTAGTATCTTCTTGAACTAAAATGTGGAGAAGTCCCATCTGGCCTCTGTAGGAGAGTGCAATGATCTATTAGCCATGCTAATAGATCAGCCCAGGAGAAGGAAGAGAACAGGATTGTTGATTGCCTGTGGACCCTGTTGTGCTAGAACATTTTTCGTATGAAAGTCTGCATTTCAGGTGTGGTAAATTGTTTATCAGACCACTTATTTTCTGATGTGTTCTACTTTATTTCTGATACTTGATTAAAGGTATGCTGTGAAAGTAGTGTAGTAATAATGACTCCTAAAATGAGTTTATGCCTCTGAAATATAGACACACGATTCTTCTTCAATAACTCTGCTTATCTGCTTTTAGAAAGTAAGCCCGGAAGTTTACGGACTATTGCAATATTAGATTTTACCATGTGTGTTTATTATTGATAATCTAAAGGTGAATTTATTAAGCTCTACATTGGCTAAGGAGCCAAGGCTAAGGATTACAATTAAACAGCTCAATTATATTTAGCAAGCAAATAAAACCTTAAATTATAAAGCTTCCAATGATAGCTTAAAGCTCAGAAATGGCCAGTTTTTTAAACTAAGCAATAAATATATTTTTAAAATATTTATTTCTAGTGTTACACAGATGAATTTGGCACAAGCTTTTCACTTCCTTTTGTGAAAAACTTGTTTTGTGCATATTCCGTCCACTATTTTGTGTGTAATACTCTGTCATATCAAATTCGATTAATTAAACAACCTTTATGGGCATGAACCAGCCTTGGTCTATAACAATTTGCAACTTCAAAGAGACAAAGTGATTTTCAAATTACTGCCTAAAAATCTATTTAATATATATAAATAAGCAGAAAAAATATCTATAGTCTTTACTGGAGAACCATGCAGTAGGGTGGGGGGAGCATATGGATTTTATTTTGGCAAGTGAAGAAAAAAGTTATTAAGACATACAATACAATAAAAAAGAATTCACAACATTTAGCAACAGATTGGCTGTGGGTAGCAGAGGCTCATGAGGAGTCGACAACAACTTTCTAAGATATTGGCTTAGAAAACATGAGTGGGTTGACTTACATGTTGTTTTCTGGAGTTGAGAATGTTTTTACTTTGAAGAACTTTTAACCTCCTCTACAAGACTTTTTAGCTACGAGGTCCCCTTATCACTATGAGTAAGAGAGGAATGCAATTCTGAGCAGATTTCTCCTAAAACTTTATATAGATAGATAGATAGATAGATAGATAGATAGATAGATAGAGATAGATATAGATATATATAGATATAGATATATACACATATACATATATATATATATATATATATACACACATATATATTTTTGAGATGGAGTCTCACTCTGTTGCCCAGGCTGGAGTGCCGTGGCACGATCTTGGCTCACTGCAACCTCCGCCTCCTGGGTTCTAGCGATTCTCCTGCTTCAGCCTCCCAGGTACCTGGGACTACAGTCGTGTGCCACCATGCCTGGCTAATTTTGTATTTTTAGTAGTGAAGGAGTTTCACCATGTTGGCCAGGCTGGTCTCGAACTCCTGATCTCGGGTGATCCACCTGCCTCGGCCTCGCAAAGTGCTGGGATTACAGACTTGAGCCATCGTGCCCGGCCTGTATTTTTAAAAGTTGTCTTTACTGAAGAGGTCTGTTCTAAACACGTATTCTGTGAGGATTTGATTCCATCATTTTCACACCTGTTACTGGCCTGACATATCACAATGTTTTATGAGAAAATAGAAATGTTATGAATTCATTTTTAAATTGTATATATTGTACAAATTTGTATTAAGCGAAGCCATGGCAGGATAGCAGTCTATTATTTGCCTTCTGTGCACTGCAGAGTTCCAGCAGAGGTGGACTTTCCTCCAGTTTATTAGAGAATTTTAAAATGTCAAACTTCAGTCAATAGTTTATGCTGTTTCTAGACCTAATATAACAAATAATAACCTAATATTGCAGGTCATTTTCAGAAGCAGTAAAATGCTATTATCCTACTAAAAATTTTTGGAGCACAATCACATGATATGAATTTCTTACACAAGCATATAAGCAATAAAAATTTTACAGAATCTTAAGTGAGGAAAAATTTGAAAATGCTAAAAAAAAAAACAGCATAAAAACAGAGATCAGAAAGTGGCTTTGATAATTCAACATAGAACAGCCTTTAGCTTTTGGGCTATGGCTCTCAAAATATCCAAAACCAGTTATTTTTGGTGTGTGCGTGTGTTTTCTGATTCTATTTGCTCCCACTCTTCCAACAGCAGTCCCCTGACTCTTCCAATCCCTCAGACTCAAAATCTTTGAGTCAGTTTCAAGTATTCGTCCCTTTTTGTCAATTCCCATTAAATCTGCTTTTGACACATCTATTCACTTTTATCTTTTTCTAAGTGCTATCATCCTAGTGTAGGGCTTCATCTCCATTTTCTTACTAATTATTTTTTCAACTTTCAAAGAATCCTAGAAGTGTACACTTATTAAAATGCATTTCATGCTTTGGCCCTACTTTAAAGCCTATACTGCATTGATTTGAATATACACTTCGGCAGTCAACGTCCCTAACCATCTGATCATAAGCTAATTATTAAATTGGTATTTGATATTTTAATGGCACTTGAAAATTTCAAAGTTTCCACAGTTATTTTATTGGATTTTCTACAAAACCATCTGTGCCAGGTAGTTTTTATTACCTATCTCTTATCCAAGAGGAATATAAGATTCTTTGAAATTTGACAACTTACAGACTACAAATCTAGCAGGTGTTAGCTGTGGAACTTGAACTCATATCCTCAGATTCTAAAACAGTGTCTTAGTCACACTACCCCCAGTGGCTTCCCTCTCTATCCAACTCTCACTGTCCAGATCATGTTCCATAACCAGAGTTACAGAACAATTATAATTACCTTCCCCATCCAAAGGCTTACTGTGCCACAGCTCATTTCTAGCTGAAATTATTTCATTTTGAGAGATGAACTTGGACAATTAATTTTGGAAATATGAATGCAAAATAACTTAGTAATTTAACAACTTCAGATTAGTGTAGGGATAGTTTCAGGAGTAAATTAAATGTTGTTGACTAAGGAAGAGAAAGAGAAATAATGTGATAAAAATTATTGAAAAGGGGTATACGGTAAGCCTTGTGAGATAAATTCTCTCTACTCTTGGGCTTATTCGTGGTAGACATAGAGCTCAGAATAGGTTTTGTGAGATGGGAAGGAGGAATTGTATGAGCTGTTATTGAGAGATTAAAGGTTATTCTGGGAAGAATACATGTTTCAGAAACAGCAAAAGGTGGGCTCGATTCCTGGTTGTCACTCATTAGTCACGTAAATTTGGTTGTGTTGTTTAACCTTTCTCAACCTCAGATTTATCAATAATAAAATGGGAATAACAATATCACCCTTTCTGGTTCCTAAAATACTGAACATAATATATATAAAGAGTTTTGTAAGAAATAGGCACTCATACATAAAAAATGGTTTTATTCTCTACCAGCATTTGACCTTGGGCACATTATTTAACCTCTCTGTTCCTCAATCTACCTCTTCTGTAAACATGGGGAAAATAACAGCACCTACACCTTGTTGGACTGTTGATGATTCAAAGAGCAGCCGCCATTTGTGATACCCTTAGAACAGTGCTCAATAAATGATATAAATGATGTGACTAATTGATAAAGACAAAAGTCTTGTGTTTCCCTTAGAAAGATGATCTAACTATACTGAGACTCAATTTCCTCATCTGTAGGATTGGGACAGTAATTTTTCCTTTAATGTTTTGCTTTAGTATTTAATGAGATACGTGACGTATTTCATATGCAACAAAATGCTATTACAATGCAAAGAGTTCTGGAATATCGAATATGTTACAAAATTTGGGGAGAAATTATTAGAGTAATAGAGAATTTTTAACACCTAGGTTGGACATTTAATTCATTGATAGAGTTCTAATTTAAATAAGATTAAAGGTTTAAAAATCCTTAGTTTTGTCTTTAAATTTTGTTATACTATCTTAAAGTTTGCTAAAAAATTGCTGTGTCTATAAGTTTACTAGATCATCACCGGCAGGCAAGACCAAGATTATCATCTGGATGAGTTCTGTTTGTTAGAGATAGTAAACACGTGATATCTACTCAACACCCTTTGAGAGAAACTCACATTTCCTCTTGATAAATGAGGTCAGATATTGGTATCATATTTAATGTCTTCTTCAAAAGATCGCAATCTAAGATCACTGAAGGACTTTAGAATCCTTGCTGGCTTTTGAATAATAGATTTCTAAACTTAACTTTGCCCTGCCAAATTTATGTATTTGTTTTAATGGAATGTATTTAAGGGTTCCATGTACCATTGTGCTATTTTTGCATGCCCAGGCATGCTCGGCTGAGAAGGCAGGTGAGGACTGAAATCCAGCCCTTTGTAAAGGCATCCAAGACACACTCATGGGATTGTGTCTGCCCTGAGGAAGTAGAGCCTTCCTTCACATAAAGGCAGTGTCCCTGACTAGGCTGTGGCCCTGGTAGCTGAGTCCACCCTAGAGGACACTTTGCCTCTATTTTTCCTAAACGCGTTGCTGATATCCCTCGACTTACAGTGGGGTTATGTTCCAATAAACCCACCATAATTTGAAAATATTATAAGTGGAAAATGCATTTAATATACCTAATCTACCAAACATCATAGCTTAGACTAGCCTACCTTAATCATGCTCAGAACACTGAGATTAGCCTATATTTGGGCAAAATTATCTAACTCAAATTCTATTTTATAATAAAGTGTTGAGTATCTTTTATTCAGTACTGTACTTAAAGTGAAAACCAGAATGGTTGTATGGATACTTGAAGTGTGGTTTCTACTGAATGTGCACTATTTCATACCATTGCAAAGTCAAAAAATTGTAAGTGGAACCATTGTAAATCGGGGATTGTCATTATATACTTTAGAGGTAGGCCTGAATGTGATATAGATAAAAAATTGATTGTATTTTTAAATTGTATTTAAAAATTGAGGTATGCAATTCCTCAAGGATCTAGAACCAGAAATACCATTTGACCCAGCAATCCCATTACTGGGTGTATACTCAAAGGATTATAAATCATTCTACTATAAAGACACATGTACACGTATGTTTATTGCAGCACTATTCCCAAGAGCAAAGACTTAGAACCAACCCAAATGCCCATCAGTGATAGACTGGATAAAGAAAATGTGGCACATATACACCATGGAATACTACACAGACATTAAAAAAGATGTGTTCGTGTCCTTTGCAGGAAAATGGATGAAGCTGGAAACCATCATTCTCATCAGACTAACACAGGAACAGGAAAACAAACACCGCATGTTCTCACTCATAAGTGGGAGTTGAACAATGAGAACACATGGACACAGGGAGGAGAACATCACACACTGGGGCCTGTTGGTGGGTGAGGGGCTATGGGAGGGATAGCATTAGGAGAAATACCTAATGTAGATGATGAGTTGATGGGTGCAGCAAGCCACCATGGCATGTGTATACCTATGTAACAAACCTGCATGTTCTGCACATGTATCCCAGAATTTAAAGTATAATAAAAAAAAAATTGAGGTCTGCAACAGGCAAAGCCACTAAAGAAACTCAGATATTTTTCATTGTAATGTTGAAAAAGTTATGAAATTTCACTAAGCCCGTGTCTATGAAGTGGGAAAATAACAGTGATATGAATATTATATGAGAACATATTTGTAAAATATTTGTTGTATGATAGATACCTAGTTTTGAATGTTAGCTATCATTTTTGGCTCTTATAATAGGTTATTGGAAGGTAGGTGTGACTCCTATCTTTTAAGCATGCAGAATACTGAAGTGATAAATTTCATCATTAATTTTCAGACCTTTGACACTTACTTCGGTGTTTAAAAATATTGATGTATGCAGACAGTTTATCTCCTAAATATGAGGGAA
This sequence comes from Homo sapiens, assembly GCF_000001405.40. Classification (NCBI taxonomy): domain Eukaryota; kingdom Metazoa; phylum Chordata; class Mammalia; order Primates; family Hominidae; genus Homo; species Homo sapiens. The sequence continues at coordinate 33,158,926 of NC_000023.11, read as the reverse complement.
TGTTATCATGATCACTCAAAGGATATACCATAACTCATCTGACATTTAAAATGTCAGTTTGATTGATAAATGAGAGTCCTGGGTAGATGAATGTGATTTAAATGGGGTTTGGTTTGCATACAGACCAAATAAATAATGATTCAGTTCTGAAGACTGGCTAGACTAGGGCTAGGGCAATTAATTGGGGTGCTGGGACATGATATCTGAGCAACAGATGCTAGGTTATGCTGCTTTGGTCACCAACAGGCCTGCTCCATAACAGGCAATAGGTACATAGACCTGACATTTAAGAGCAGTTAATGTAGGCCTCAAGACCTTGAATGGTAATTAACTAACATGAAGAAATGGAACAGAGTGTCAGGATTATCTATTATGGCACAATTTCCTATTCTGAGCATGCCCAGTGGTGGGTCAGAGGGGAGGTCAAGGAACAGATGGGATCAGGAAGTAAAGAGAGCTCTTTCCAGCTAGGACAGGCCTGAGGGGACCGAATAGACAATGCAAGGCAGAGAATGAGTCACAAGGAACAAAGAACCTGGCGAAAACCAGAGCCACACTAGGTTTCTGATGAAGCTGGCCACCATGGGCTTCTCTCATTTAAGACACTCTCTCAATCCCTCACGTTCTTCAGGTTGGCATATGACTGAACTTAAAGGCTGGAGAGCTGCAGCCTACATGAGGCTAGCAAATAATTAATGCATTACAGAGCACTTAAAATATGATACAGAAATATACAATTCTGCATGTAAATCCAAGTATTATGAAGGACCAACACAGAAATATATAGGCAATAATATTATGTGAGGCCATAAGATAATGACTTTTTATTATAATAATTATGCCTGATCTAAATGAGCTATGTTTGATTTCTGTGTACTTTCATAGCTTTATAGCCAAGCATGACTTCTCTGCCCAGAAAATCCTGCCTGATTTACTCTTTAGCTTCTCTCTAATTTACTTTCTTTTTTTGAGATGGAGTTTCACTCTTGTCTCCCAGGCTGGAGTGCAATGGTGCGATCTCAGCTCACTGCAACCTCCACCTCCTGGGTTTAAGCGATTCTCCCGCCTCAGCCTCCAGGGTAGCTGGGATTACAGGAGTGTGCCACCATGCCTGGCTAATTTTTGTATTTTTAGTAGAGATGGGGTTTTGCCATGTTACCCTGGCTGTGGTCTCCAACCCTGACCTCAGGTGATCCACCCACCTCAGCCTCCCAAAGTGCTGGGATTACAGGCGTGAGCCACCGCTCCTGGCCCTACTTTACTTTTACCAGCTAGGGACTGTTTCTCATTCAATACATATATTTGTTTGTCTGCTAAGTTGGATGTAGTAGTTGAGTAGTGGAGTTGAAAACTGAGAGATTGACAGCAGTCAGTTCATTGAGGATTGTGTTATCACGTGCACTGGGTTAGATAGTGCACCCTCAAAATTCATGTCTTTTCTGGAACTTCAAAAATGTGGTTTTTGTTTGCAAATGGGGTCTTTGCAGATGTAATTAGTTAAGATGATGTCATATTGGAGTGGGGTGGGCCTTTAATCTAACATGGCTGATGTCCTTATAAGAAGAAGAGAAGAAATACAGAGAAGACACACAGGGAGAATCCCATATGACAGAGGCTATCCCGAGTGACGTGTCTATAAGCCAAAGAATGGCAAGGATTGCTGGCAATACCAGAAGCTAAGAAAGAGGCACGGAACAGACTCTCTCCTAGAGTATTCAGTGAGAGCATGGCCCTGCTAATACTTTGATTTTGAACTTCTAGCCACCAGAACTGGGAGACAATATGTTTCTCCTAAAAAACAAACAAACAACTACAAACCCTACCCAGTTTGTAGTACTTTTTAACAGCAGCCGCAGGAAACTAATACATCATGGAAATGAATTTAAACATCTTATTATCTATAAAGAATGTGAACTGTCAAAGCTTACTGTTCCATTGGACATCAGTTTCGTGTATCTTTTATCGTATAATGCATGACTAGAGTAATAATTTCAAAGGACATTAAAAAATACAGACATTTTCTTGAAGGTACCCAAACGTTTGAATTGTGGGTCAGGCCAATATCAGCAAGGGCATTTGATAGAGTTTCTCACAATAACCTTCTGTGCATGTAAATAACTGTATCTTCTCAATAGATTTGTTATTGTATATTTGGTCTTGTAGACTTACCCGAGGAAGTCAGATAATAGCGTATTTCGATATACTGTGAGAAAAATAGGTACACACTAAATAGGAGTATGAAAATACACAAAGAATTACCCATCAGCAAGAGCACATTATATTTGTTTTTCTTGAAACACCCATTCTTTCCTCCTTCTACTTTGTTTTATTTTTAATCTGGCTCTCTTGCTTATCTTCAAAGTTTTATCTCCCCCAATAAATCTTCCTGCCATGGTGAAGGTTAAATGTAACTCTTCCATCATCCACGCTAGCACATACCATATGCATAGAAGTTATAAAGTCCTTGAAGACAGAGACTCTATTTTACACATCTTTGAATTCAAAGCCCTAAAATATTTGAGCCCTGAAGAAGTTGTTAGGACATTTTAGCCACCAGTGCATACTCTAGTAGTGACGGTAGTGATGTAAGTACATTCCTCAGCTTTTCTGAACATTAGTGAAGAATTCCTTTTAATAAAGAGCAAGATTTTCCATTGATACTCAGATGGACAAGTTTTGGAGTATTCTCAGAGATGAAAAAGGATTATTTTTCATTTGATGTACATGTATTCTGTGATTTTGTGAACACAATGGATGCTTGCTCTTTTCATTATTATTGTTATTCCTTTGGGTAAGGCCTTTATGTTGTCAAAAACTTCTATTTAAAAAAAGTGAAAATAATAAAACATTCAGCCATTTGCAGTCAATTATTCTTGCCACTGGTTAGTATATTTATTTACCAGGGTTCTTAATTAATGTTACTGAGAGGCTCAAAGATCTGAAAAACAGCATTGGTTCCAAGTGGCTGCATTTCTTTCTTATTCATTTATTTATTTTTTAGAAATGAGGTCTTGCTCTGTCACTTGGGCTGAAGCGTGGTGGCGCGATCTGCTCACTGAAGCCTCAAACTCCTGGGCTAAAGTGATCCTCCTGTTTCAGCCCATGCCTGGTTAATTTTTTTTTTTTTCTTTGTAGAGATGGCATCTCCCTGTGTTGCCCAGGCTGGTCTCAAACTCTGGGCCTCAAGTGATCTTCCCACCTTGGCCTTCCAAAATGCTAGGAGTACAGATACGAGCCACCATGCCCGGCTAGCTGGCTGCATTTCTTTAAGGCCCAGAGCCTCCTGTGGTAGCATCTGGATTTGAAATGCTGGCTGGGTGCAGTGGTTCAAACCTGCAATCCCAGCACTTTGGGAGGCCAAAGCAGGTGGATCACCTGAGGTCAGGGGTTCAAGACCAGCCTGGCCAACATGGTGAAACCCCATCTCTATTAAAAATACAAAAATTAGCTGGGTGTGGTGGCGGGCACCTGTAGTTCCAGCTACTCAGGAGGCCAAGGCAGGAGAATCGCTTGAATCTGGGAGGCGGAGGTTGCAGTGAGCTGAGATTGAGCCACTGCACTCCAGCCTGGGTGACAGAGCAAGACTCTGTCTAAAAAAAAAAAAAAAGAGAAAGGCTCATAAACATTGTCTATGTCTAAGCTGCAACAATGATTGATATTGTGAAGATTATTAATAGTGTGGGTCAACTGAAGGGGAAGGAAAACACCAAAGGAGAATTTTTCCCTCCCAAATCATAAAGGCATTCATTTTTCAGAGAAGAAGAGAGGAATATTACTTTCATTAAAAGAATAGGAAAATTAAAATTGTTGTTATTAGCCACAAATCAGGGTAGAGCTGTGTGAATCCATGGGGAGAATGTAAGATTATAAGCAGAAATCAAGGTTAGTTTTGTCTTGTACTTCTGGAATAAGAAAGATGATATGTAATCAGACCATGTCTCTGATAATTTTGTTAAATTAGATGAAGAAAATCACATGGATAAGAAAATGTAATTAAATCACTAAAAATAAGAATGTCATTGTTTTCACTTTCTTTTGCTAAGTAGGAGGTGAGGAAAATAACCTTTTACTCTGTACATGAGTAATTCCAATATCCTCTTAGAAATGACAATTGGATTGTAAAATGGGCTTGCCTTTGACCATATTCTGAAAGGATAATATAATGAGTTGGCAAAAGACCCCATGAATAGAGTTTATGTAGAAAGCAACAAAAAAACACAAATATAAAGAAATGCCTACAACCAAAGGTCAGTATAATTGATAGCAAGATTTCAAGGGGAAAAATTAGGGTCAGGGAAGATATAAAATTTCTGTCTCCTTGTTTTGGTGATTTTTAATCTAGAAATAAAACAGGAATAGTGAAATATTCCATAGTATATCTAAATATCCATCTTTGTGGCAGGGAGCTAGAAAGATTCAGGATTATTATTTATAAACCAATTTAGACTAAATTCAAAGACTGAGGAGATACACCTAATTTAGAAGAAACAGGAGCTCTGAGACCTGACTTTGCATATTACTACTAATTTTTTTCTTAGTGCTCGTTTTGCTGCCCAGGCTGGAGTGCAATGGTGCAGTCTCTGCTCACTGCAACTTCCGCCTCCTGGGCTCAAGCAATTCTCCTGCCTCAGCCTCCTAAGTAGCTGGGATTACAGGCGCCCACCACCACGCCTGGCTAATTTTTGTATTTTTAGTAGAGACAGGGTTTCACTGTGTTGATCAGGCTGGTCTCCATCTCCTGACCTCAAATGATCTGCCTGCCTCGGCCTCCCAAAGTGCTGGGATTACAGGCATGAGCCACCGTGCCTGGCCAGGGCCTTTTTAAGTATTATTTTTTCTTCTAAAGTTACTGATGCTCAAATGAAACCTAATTTTGAAAAATAGAATGTTTGAAAGAAATAGATTGAATGAAAATAACACAGCTGATATTTTTAGCAAGATTCTTGGATATAGCTTTAGAAATAAACTAGCCAGAAGGAGCAGTATGGCAAGATTACCTTTTCTTTATATCAATTAGACATATTGTATCGTATGACTTATTTAGTACTGAAGATGTCTGTGCCTTTCTGCAGTTGTTTTTCATCTATTAAAAGAGAAAGATACTATCTATGCTATCTTTTCAAGATCCCTGTGGATTTGAATTTTCAAGTGTATAGATAAACCTTGATTGATGAAAAATTGATGGACAAAATTAATTTTATAACAAAGGTAAAGAAGTGAGTATTGCCTTCATAATGTGCCCCACAGCTTTTAACAGAATTTCTTTAAACAATATTTAATGTATTTTTAAACAATTATATATTTCAATATTAAATCTTAAGTATGTTTCAGGAATATCTTCTTTAAGATAATTGATATATCCCAGTTTTCATACGTTTTAAATTTTTTACGTCTACAGTATTATATTTTCTTTTGAAAAATTGCGTAACATTAAGGTAGTAAATAAAAACAAAAATAGTTTAATGTCTCTTGTGGGAAATACAGTTTTGTTTTGTTTTGTTTGTTTGTTTGTTTTGAGACCGAGTTTCACTCTTGTTGCCCAGGCTGGAGTGCAATGGCACGATCTCGGCTCTCCGCAACCTCCACCTCCTGGGTTCAAGTGATTCTCCTGCCTCAGCCTCCCAAGTAGCTGGGATTATAGGCAATGCACTACCATGCCCGGCTAACTTTGTATTTTTAATAGAAACGGGGTTTCTCCATGTTGGTCAGGCTGGTCTTAAACTCCCAACCTTAGGTGATCCGCCTGCCTCGGCCTCCCAAAGTTCTGGGATTACAGGCGTGAGCCAACGCCCCCTGCCTAGTTGTTTTTGACCACATATTTTTTCTCTGAAATATAAATGATTTGTAGCCCAAAAGTTTAAGTCTGAATCAATTGTCTGTAGTAAATGCTGCACCATCTACATTTGTTAATGAGAACAATACAGAACTAACTTGAAAACTGCTCAAATTTTCCCTTGCATAATGCTCAGTTTTTAAAATGTATTGCCTTCTGTCTTCTCAATGGGATTGCTGCTTTTTAAATTTTCATTAATTCCTAAACCATATTCCATTGTATTTTTTTTGTACATTTGCTTTAAGTGACTGTCTATTGGAGGAAAAGAAAGTGTAGGTTTTCTGGTGAATTATAATAGCAATATGATTCCTGGAATGAAGCAGCTTTTCTCGTTTGGAATGACCATAAAATGGCAATACACTTAACAGTAATACCCTTGTCTGTGTTACAGCAATGGGTCTTAATGGTTTTCCATACGTGAACTTAGCCGCTTGCCTACAGAGAATTACTAAGTAACTAGTATATTCCACATGTAAAAATCTCCAGAGGGCTTCCACACACTTTAATACACGCTGATATACAATATAAATGCAACGTATCCTGAAGAAAAAAAAAAATCACAAACTCCGTGTGTGGCTCTCAACAAGCTACTATTTTCTCATTAGAAAAATAGGAAAGCTGGCCAGGTACAGTGGCTCACACTTGTAATCCCAGCATTTTGGGAGGCCAAGGCAGGCAGATTACCTCAGGTGAAGGGTTCAAGACCAGCCTGGCCAACAAGGTGAAACCCCTTCTCTACTAAAAATACAAAAAAAAATTAGCCAGTCTTGGTGGTGGGTCCCTGTAATCCCAGCTACCTGGGAGGCTGAGGCAGGAGAATCACTTGAACCTGGGAGGCAGAGGTTGCAGTGAGCCAAGATTGGGCCACTGCACTCCATCCTGGGCGACAGAGGGAGACTCTATCTAATAATAATAATAATAATAATAATAATAGTAAAGCTAATAACTATACAATATCTTACCTAAATGTTTAAGAACACCTACTAATAATACTTAAAAATACCAAAATATAAAAACAAAACATACAAATGTAAAGAACATACAGTCAGTAGTACAGCAAATCTATTTGATTACTTTTTTCAAAATTCTATTTTAATTTTTTTGCTAATTTTAAAGCACTGTTATTAAAAGAAAATATTTTCAATTGGTTTTATTCTCATTGTATCTTCTAGAAATACTAGTTCATTTTAGGAAAATAAAAATAGTGAGAGAAAACTTTTAGCTCTGAATATGGACCATGTCCCATGCCTGCCACTTTGTTCTAGTTTTTGTTATTTAATTATCACACACTATAAAGGAGTTCTTACCAATTCTTTTTTTTCTTCAGAAATAATTGATTCTTCAGTTTTTTAAACTGCTTTATTGAGGTATGATTGGCATATACACCAATTCTCTTTTATAGGCAATGAAATTGGAGATCAGAAAAAATTGAGTAACTTACCTAAGACTACAAGTAAGTGGCAGAGCTAGAATTTGACCCCAGACAGGCTTCACATACAAGTTCACAGGGCCATCAGCTGCCTGAAGGCAGAGACCATGATTTGTATCCATAGTATTTATGTATCTCTCATATCTAAATAAAATCTAGTCACTATTCAGATTTAATTGATATTTTCAATTACCTTTGTATTTTTAAAAGAAGACACATTATAGAAATTTGATACTAAATGTAAGTATTCAGTTCTTTAGTTAAATTGAAGAAAAGCAGAAATAATATTCTGTATTAATACATTAGTGAAAAGTCAGCAGCTAAAATGTAAGAGATGTTTGGTGACACAAGTAAAAATGGATTGTATACTTTTTGCCTTATACTACCTGACTCTGGCATTTAGATATAACTTGTTCCAGAGACCTGTCATAACTTATATGTTTCAGACAAGAAAAGCTTTGGGTTACCTGAAATAGTGTAGTTAAAAATCAAACGCTGTACTCATCTAGAGGGACTTTGTTTATCCATTCAAAAATACATGAACAGGGCTTTATCTTGGCCTATTTGAACTCCATGCCAGAGGGCAGCATAACATAGCAAAGCATGCTGACCTCTCCTTATCACTGCCCTTGTTGAAAACCTTGAGTTCTTCTTAATAGTCTGGTATATAGTTTTAAAATGTTGATATTTTGTTCACAGCTATATGTGATCTCCTAAACCTTTGCTTCAAAATAGTCTATTTCTCTGTTGTGGTTTGCTTCAGGGTAAAAGCCCTCTGATTTCCCACAATCAGGACAGTAATTTGGTAGGTTAATAAGTTATGTTGTGTGTTAGTGAAATATAAGTGCTAAGGAAAATAAAAGTAGTAGGGCAAGGGAAATCAGGAATACTAGGGCCTGGAAAAGAGCATGAAATAATGTGTTATGATGAGTTGCACTGAGCAGGTTAAATCAGAACGAGACAAGAAGCCAACTAGATAGAGAAGATTGTTCCAGGTTAAGGGAATGAGTGGAAAAAAGGCTCTCAGGTGAGAGTGTGTTCAAGGAATAGCAATTAAGACTGTGACTACTGGCCAGGCGCAGTGGCTCCCACCTGTAATCCCAGCATTTTTGGGAGGCCGAGGCGGGCGGATCACTTGAGGTCAGGAGTTCGAGACCAACCTGGCCAGTATGGCGAAACCCCAACTCTACTAAACATACAAAGATTAGCCGGGCGTGGTGGTGCACATCTGTAATCCCAGCTACTCAGGAGGCTGAGGCAGGAGAATCCCTTGAAACTGAAGGCAGAGGTTGCAGTGAGCCGAGATCACGCCACTGCACTCCAGCCTGGGCAACAGAGTGAGACTCCCTCTCAAAAAAAAAAAAAAAAAAAAGACTGACTTTTATAAGGAAGAAAGTAGTAAGAGATCATAAAATCAAGAGGATTTGGTGGTACAGATTAGAGACTTGTACGTTTTCGTTTCTGTGCAGTAGAGAAAGAACACAGAGACATTTGCAAAACAATTTAAGAGGGGATTCCTTCAATACTTTTCTAATATCCCTCTCCCAAAGGCCTGTTTATTCTTCAGCTAATTTTTACTGATAATTTGTATTTTTTAGAAAGAACGCATCTCTTTATTTTATAGTCATGTATCATCAAATTATGTAGTATATAATTATATTAGATCATTACATGAGCAGGAATGGGAACAATCACAGTTGATTCTTGCTATGTTCCGGTTATCTATTGCTGAGTAACAATTTATTATAAAACTTAATAGCTTAAAACACCAGTCACTTTTTATAGCTCATGATTTTGTGGGTCATAAATTTGAGCGTGGGTCAACTGGGTGATTTTCCACTCTATGTGGTATCAACTTGATCCCTAAATGATACTCAGCTGGCAGATGAGCTGGTCAGCAGAATCCAAGACAGCTGTACTCATATGTATGTTGCTTTGGTGGAGACGACAGGGAGACTTGGGTCAACTAGATCTATTGACTCTAGTACCTACATGTGGCCTCTTCAGCATGGTAGACCCAGGATTGTTGAACTTATCACATGGGAGCTCAGGGTTCTAGAGTGAATGATACAAAAGACGGAAAATATAAGTTTCTGGTATCTTCAGGCCTAACCCTGGAAACTAGAACAGCAGCTCTTTCACTGCAGGGGTCCCCAACCCCTGGGCCACACACCGGTACCCATCTGTGGCCTGTGAGGAACCCAGCTGCACAGCAGGAGGCGAGCGGTGAGCCAGTGAAGCTTCATCTGTATTTACAGCCACTTCCCATTGCTGGCATTACTGCCTGAACCCTGCCTCCTGTCAGATCAGCAATGGCTTTAGAGTCTCAGGAGCACAACCCTATTGTGAACTGCACATGTGAGAGATCTAGGTCGCATACTCTTTATGAGGAGTATCAGGCAATCTAGTGACTGATGATGTGTCACTGTCTCCCGTCATGCCCAGATGGGACCGTCTAGTTGCAGGAAAGAAAGCTCAGGGCTCCCACTGATTCTATGATATGGTGAGTTACATAATTATTTTATTATATAATACAATGTAATAATAATAATAGAAATAAAGTGCATGATAAATGAAATAGTCTCCAATTATCTTAACACTATCCCTCACCTCCCCCCCACTAACCCCAGTCTGTGGGAAAATTGTCATCCATCAAACCCCAGTCTCTGGTGCCAAAAAGGCTGGGGACCACTATTCTACTGCATTCTATTAGAGCAGCCACAGAACCCACCCAAATTCAAGGGAGGAAACAAAGACTTTACCTCCCCAGTGAAGAAATGTCAAAAAAATTCGCAGCTATCTTTAATCCGCCAAAGCATACGATTTATCTCTCATAGAGAGATTTCTAGTTAAGGTTTTTCAGCAGGTCATCTTGATCCATAGTAAATCTAACAAAGGGAATGGAGAGCTTTGGTTAATCTAATGATTCAGTTAAATGGAGATCCATTAAAATAGATTCTACTATAATTCCATTCATTATTTTTCACATTTTTTCTAATTTTTTATTATTCATAGTGTTTTTGTCCAATGACCTTTAAAATCATGAACATTTAATATATAGGAATGGCATCCATCTGAATATGGCATAATTATAAATGAATTTACTTTAATATCTAGAAAACATTCTTGTTCGTTCTCTAACTTTTAGATAAAAGCCATCCCTTCTTTTATTTAATTTAACTCTACTTTAAGGCTTTAAAAACCTGACTGATAGGGAAAAAGTCCAAAACTGGGACGCTCGTGTAGACTATTTACTGCAATAAATCATTGTGAAAAATATGGGCAGTCAAGTGCTGGATATTCTATTTCTGTTTGAACCCTAAGAAATATCAACCGTCTTCTCACTGGCTTTTAGCACATCTGCTCCATTTAAAACTATGGCAGGGAGGTGTGTAAGATTGAATTGATTGTCTCTTGGAGTTTACTGTGCTTCTTTCGAAACTTTGTTTTTCAGTAAAGGCAATTGCTTCTTGAGCAGTACTGGTTATTCCACACCCACTAATTATCATGCAGCCATTTAGAGTTGAAATGGTAATCAAACCAATGAAAGCCCAAGATTAGCAGCGTTCCTTCTTCATTTCTGGTAGAGAGATTCATCTGAATATCTATAAAGGATTTTGTGGTGCATTCTCTGGCAGATGCAGTAAAACAAGTGCAACATGAACTTTAAAATACAGCTTTGAGTTTTAGGTTGAATTTTAAGTTGAACATATTTCAAATTTTGCAATTTAATTATAGGAGTTAAATGATCTTAAAGGATCATTCTAGGTCTGAATAGAATTTTAAGAGCTAGATTTTATTAAAGAAAAGATATATTTTAAGTGATAAAATTTATATATTTTGCCCTTCAGAAATTACTGGTTGATGTTTCTATTAAAATTATTAAGATCTAAATATACAATGATACTCGAGACCAATTCTCATTTAAGGAATGGCATACTGTATGACAGGATGTGAGGTGTTAAGAGATAATTACATGCCTAGAAGGTGTAGTGAATCATATGACCAAAAGCCAAGAACATCCAGAGACCAAAATTCACAGTCATTTCAAATATCATTACTCCCTGGTGTGTGTTATTCTACTTAGAAAATTGCATGTTTGTTGTTTGTAAATTTAGAGACAAAAAATGCTTAAATTAATTTTTTCATCATTTCTAAAAATTTGCTTTAATATTTACTAGCCCAGTAAAATGTATTCAAATCATAATTATAAATATCAGGGCTATTGAGCAGGGGAATGTGTCAACTGCCATTCCGGACCTTCTTCTGGAACTAATTTTGATTGCCAGCAGAATAAAATGCATGCAATGAATACAATGAATGTAATGCTAAATCAAATAATCAAGTGTTTATGTTTATGTATTTTGATCCCCCTATACATTTAAAATAACTCTGTTTTATTAGAAGTTCTGTATTTGAGATAAAATGCACCTCCCTCTCATTTTTCCTGGTTTGTATGTGAGACCACAGTATTTCACAGTAGATATCCAGGGAAATAACAGACAAAAGAAAGGAGAGCAGGAAGAATATTTTAAGATTTATTGGCCAGCGGCGGTGGTTCACGCCTGTAATCCCAGCACTTTGGGAGGCTGAGGCGGGTGGATCACAAGGTCAGGATGTCGAGACCATCCTGGCTGACACGGTGAAACCCCGTCTCTACTAAAAAATAAAAAAATTAGCCAGGTGTAGTAGCACACACCTGTAGTCCCAGCTACTCGGGAGGCTGAGGCAGGAGAATCGCTTGAACCTGGGAGGCGGAGGTTGCAGTGAGCAGAGATTGAGCCACTGCACTGCAGCCTGGGTGACAGAGCAAGACTCGTCTCAAAAAGAAAAAAAAAAGATTTATTAATTTGTCTTCAACAAAATACTAACTCTGCAGTGCCCTCACCTTGATTCCTTACTTATTGAGGACTAAGCCTATTTTTGTGGATTGAAATGATGTTAATTATCTGCATCCAAATACCCCTCATAGGGGCGACTGTGAGCACGTCCCTCTACTAGTAACACAATACTCAGGTGAGAGCTGGCAAACACAGGAAGACTGAAAAGCCCGACTTGGAATCCTGACTTCTACATTTTTTAACTGTGTAGTTCTGGGAGTTTCTTAAACTCGTGTGCCTCAGTTTTTCCATTTGCATCTGTAGAAAGATTGTAATAGAAACTACCTTCTCTGTTATAATGATTATATGAGCTAAAGCATGAAGAAATATAAAGCAGCTAACCCTGAGTTAGCTCTCAAGAAGTATTTTATTATTAACTTGTTAATACCTTCAACTTATAAAAATTTAAAAATTATGAAATTTTTTAAATTATGAGATTTACATAAAGTTTTCAGAATAGTCTAATCAATACAGACAGAAAGTAGATTAGTAGGGCCTGGGGACGTGGAGAAAGGAGAGTGATTCCTAATGAGTATGGGGTTTCTTTTTTGGGCTGACGAAAATGTTTTATATTAGAAAGTGGTAACAGTTGGCCAGGCGCAGTGGCTCACACCTGTAATCCCAGCACTTTGGGAGGCCAAGGCAGGTGGATCACGAGGTTAGGAGATCAAGACCATCCTGGCCAATATGGTGAAATCCCGTCTCTACTGAAAATATATATTTAAAAAAAATGAGCTGGGTGTGGTAGTGCGCACCTGTAGTCCTAGCTGCTCGGGAGACTGAGGCAGGAGAATTGCTTGAACCCAGGAGGTGGAGGTTGCAGTGAGCCAAGATCGCGCCGCTGCACTCCAGCCTGGCGACAGAGCGAGACTCTGTCTCAAAAAAATAAATAAATAAAGGAAAAAAGAAAGTGGTGACAGTTGCATAACTATGTGAATATACTATATATCACTGAATTGTGCACTTTAAAAGAGTGAATTTTGTGGTGTGTGAGTTATAGCTCAATAAAATGATTTTAAAAAATAAAATGAGAAGGATGAGAGACCGGTATATTTCAGAATAGTGCACTTAAAAAATTTGTTTACAGAACACTAATTGTTCAGCATACTTTCTACTGGACATTACTGTATATATATATATATTTAGTATTATATAAATACATTATATGATAACCATATCTGATAAATATTATCTTACTTTATAGATGATGAAACTCAGATCTTCAATGATGGAAGTGACTTATCTATTGTTGAGTTGTAATTGGATCTTATATATATTTCCCTGCTCCCACAGAGCCTACATTTCTGAAAAAGAAATTATGTCTCTTGTGATAAATAAACAAGAAACATATCAGATAAAAGTGTTGCATTGAGAACAAACTGAGTTGAGATAGTGAGTGATTGGGTAGTTATTCCAGCTTCAGTAGTAAAGAGAATCTTTGCTGAAGAGGCATGTCAGCTGAGATATGACTGTCTAGAGGAACCAGTCATGTAAAAACTGAGGAAGAACCTTCCAGAAGGAAAGAATAGCCAGTGCTAAGACACTGAATTTCTTATATTTTGTGTTTAGAAATGCTAGGGTTATAGTTAGCAAGATAGCCTGGAAGGAGCCTTCCCATGTTTTCTCATATATGAAATAACTAACATGGAGGATTATTGTGAAGTTACAAAAATACATGAATAACACCTAGTATAGTATCTCACTCGTGGTTGGTATATAAAAAATATTGCTGTTCTATTAATTCCTCAATATATAGCTATTCTATACAGGTCTTATGCAAAAAAGAACCTTAGTGAACGTATTTCAACTTGGTAAGAGTTAGTTACACATGGGCTGACACAATCATAAGCATGGAAAATAGACAATAGATTGAAAGCATTAACAATGGTAGTTGGAACTTCAGAAAAACCCACTCTTTCTTAATCTATGATGAAGGAAATGGTGGGTTTTCCAGTGGTATTGAAATAAAAGGAAACTTTTTAGATGGTGGAGTAAGGTATGCAAAGGTAGCGAGCGTGTGCATCTATGGCTGGAGAGAAATCCAAAGACAAGATAGAATCACCCTTTTGCTCTCTGTGAAAACTCTGATTTTCCTTTCATGGACTAAGGTCTACACTCTCCAATCATCTTAGTTGCATACACTATTAATTCATCAATCAAGCTACGTCATCCTTTGTGATATGTTTTGTTTTTCTTTCTTCTTTTTAATTATTGTGGGTACGTAAGAGTTGTACATATTTATGAAATACATGTGATATTTTGATACAGGCATACAATCTGTAATAATCAAATCAGGATAATTGGAATATTCATTACCTCAAACATTTATCATTTATTTGTGTTGGGAACATTCCAAGTCTACTCCTCCAGTTAATTTGAAATAAACAATTAATTATTGTTAACTATAATCACCCTATTGTGGTACAGAACACTAGATTTTATTCCTACTAGCTAACTGTATTTTTATACTCATTAAACAAGCCCCTCTTCATCACCCCCTCCCCACTACCCTTCCCAGCCTCTGGTAACAATCATTCCACTTTCTACCTCCATGAGATCAATTTTTTAGCTCCCACATACGCGTGAGAACATGCAATATTTGTCTTTCTAGGTTGTGTTTTGATTAGACAACCTCTTATTTCTAAAATTTGCTTAAATTATTTGAGTACTTGATCCTTCACATTACTGCCAATAAAGCAAACCACAGTTGAAACTTGATTTTTTTCTAATATTTTGAATGTATGCTGTGTGCAAAGGTAACAAAGAGGAATCCATTTAACAGAAAACAGATTGCTAATATCTTCATCATTTACTTTAGATTCCAGTCTTTGGATATCAGATTTTTCTCTGGTCTTCATATTTATTTGTTTTGGCATCAGATTGCATTTTCTTGCTTGGTTTAAAAAAAACTGTATTTTTTTCCCTGTATTATCGGTGTTGATTTCCTCTGTTCTTATTCTTCAAATTATGCAGAGAAATGTGTACAAAGTTAGGAGGAGTTAACGCTATATAAAATAAACTATCTATTAATATCATTCGGTTAATTTTCAAAGAGGCTGTAAATAGATCATGGATATAGGCAAATACCAGATGCCACATAAAAGGAAAACCTCAAAGACATTTTTTCTTTTATTAAAACCATCAACAGTAAGAACTGTGACAGTAGGTTTTGGGTTTTTTTATTGCCAAGGTTATTATCAGCCCTCTACCCTAAATAAGGGAATAAAATGATTTCTAGTTTTTGGACACTGTGTTATATTATTCTGTAACTACAGGAACATAATATAATGCTACAGTCAAAAGAATAAGCTTAGAAATCATCTAAGTTTAAATTTGTCACTCATTTTCTAGAAGGATGACCTTATACTATCTATTTAACCTTTCTAAGACTCAATTGCCTTATAAATAAAATGATTATAATAAAGACTTCATAAGTTGCCATGAGAAAAGTATTAAGCACAGTTTCTGAGATAACCAATATTGATAATAATATAATAATCATCACAAAACATTACCTTTCTCCTTGTAAAAATTATAACGTTAATGGTTTTAAAAATGTAATTCTAGTACCAAAGTGAAGTTTGTATTATGTTCTAGTTAATATATATAAAAATTTAAAGAAAAACTAAAATACATATAGCTGTGAAAATACTCACTAAACCAACATAGAAAAGCATTTGTTTTGCTCTGTAAATCTAACCTTGATGATTATGATAATAAAAATAATCACTGTTAGGTTATTTTACTTGTGATTAACTTCTATTTATGTACCCTCCCTCTATTGATGTTTAACAATAGTTCATAGCTATGACTATTTCATTTCATATGGCTGTTCCTAAAATCATACTGAACATCTGACTCCATATTCTTAAGACAACTTGGGACCTCTATCTCTTCCCTGCAACAATATTTGTGAGTTGACAAACATAAAAGCCTATGCTTTAGCACGCACAAGAGATGTGGAAAGGTACCATTTAAATTAGTACCATAAATTTTCCTTTTTATGTTTCCTAACCTCATATTTATTGAAATGCATTAAATTAACTCAGACATCTAAGGATATAACATTTAATTTACAATAATCTTTATGGTTACTTAATTCCATTAACCTTATCTTTGAAAGGCGTCAAATTAAGAAATACAGAGCCTGTCACTTTCATTTATTCGGGGGAGGCTGTGAACTATTCAGATGATGTATCTTTGATTGAGGGAAGGAGGTGCCCAAGAATTAGTCAATTACGCAATTAAAAACCCCAAACCTTTCCTTTGGTATGTTTCACACAAAATCTCCATTGCTGTGCTAGATTACACTGGATGATGAATCACTACTTGAATCACTTCAGTTTTGATTATTCAAAGTAAAAATTGAATGGTTGGCATTTTCACCAATTTAAAAGCCTCGCCGGGCACAGCGGCTCACGCCTGTAATCCCAGTACTTTGGGAGGCCAAGGCGGGTGGATCACCTGAGGTCAGGAGTTCCAGACCAGCCTGATCAACATGGTGAAACCCTTTCTCTACTAAAAACGCAAAATTAGCCGAGCATGGTGGCACATGCCTGTAATCCCAGCTACTTGGGAGGCTGAGACAGGAGAACTGCTTGAAGCTGGGAGGCGGAGGTTGCAGTGAGCGGAGATTGTGCCATTGCACTCCAGCCTGGGCAACAAGAGTGAAACTCCATCTCAAAAAATAAAATAAAATAAAAGCCTTAACTTTCATTTTCTCACCAGATTTTAGCTTGACAAAAGCTATCTTTAAGGGTTGCTTAGGCATTTCAGTTTGAAATGTTTATGTTCTTGCTATAAAATGTGTGGACATGTGTGTCCAAATATATACACACAAGAAATTTTAGGTACTGTCATAGTGTTGGGATCATTAAGAATTGTGTTTTCATGGCGAGTAAATTAATTTCCTCTGCTGTGAGTCACTTTTTGGTAGTGTATGCATGGTTTAAATGAAACTCACTGAACTGTTTTTGTGGATTCACTGCTTGGTTGTTTTACTACCCTAGAGAGCAATTAGGTGTATGTGGAGTGTGTTGAACCTATAAAATTTTACTTGTGTGATGACTGCAAAGAAAATGAAAGTAGTGTCATGCAATCCATGAAAACTCTGCTGAGTTTCTAGCTAGTCTCTTAATAAAGTTTACACAATTCAAACTCTCCAATCATACTGAATATCACTGAGGCTCTTAAGACTTGTGAAAATCAGATATTTTAAATTTTTAAATTGTCATATTATGTCGCCAATTTCCATTTCTACTCTATATTTATAGTACTTTTTTGCATTTTGAGTGCACAAGTCAACCCGTTTGGCCATACATAGCAAGACATGTATTGGTGAGAGCAGCAAAAAATATGTAACTGCTCGTTTACAACTTTTGACCAGTAGCGAGGTCACACTGAGAGTACCGCTCAGGAGAATTGAGTCAAGTTTTAGGCTACTAAAATTTGCTGAGCTCTGTGACCTAGGGACATATTCCTGACTCCAGCAGGCCTTTGAAGAAATCACGCTGGCAACCTCACAATAGATGAACAAGAAAATGGATGAACACAACCATATTATAAGAAGCAGTTATCAGACGCATGGGTTCTGGAGCCAGGCTGTTTGCTGAGTTCGAATCTCAGTGCTGCTATTTAATGACTGTGACCTTAGGCAAGTTGCTTAACTCTGCCTCTCTTAATTTTGGAAATTAGGAAAAGAACTACTTACATTTTAGGTTTGTTGGAAAGATTTATATCACTTAAAATGTATACAGCATGTAACAATTATTGAATTATACTTAACAATTATTATCTAGGGGAAAATATACTGATGATTTTGTATATTGTATATATATACACACACGTATATATCAGTAACTTTAAATGGGGAAGTCACTAAAAAAATCATAACTTGGTGTAAATATACTTAATCTGTATGCCACGGCTAGTTTTTTGTTTGTTTATTTTTGCCAAGTTTCTTTAATTTCTGTTGGCCTTTTGGGGTCACCCCATTAGCATCTGCAGGATAGCTTACTTATACAGGGGAAAGTGTCTGTTACCAGTACAGTACAGTGGTGGTATAAGGAAAATCTATTAAATGAAGTCCTGGGTGTTTATCCCTATAATTGCATAAATGTATGTTTCTCAGGAGTAGTGTTGTGTAAGTAAATGGATAAAAGTCATAGAGTGCTAAAGCTAAATGGAAACAAAGTTATTTAGTCCAATTCCCATATTTTATAGATGAGAAAACTGAGAATCAGAAAATGGAGGGATTTGTTCAAGGTCATAGTAGTTATTGTCTGAGATGAGGAAAATATCCAAATGTCTGCTTAAATACTGAGATATGCTTAAGTTAGCGTTGAAAATATTCCATTTAAAATAGCAATATTTTCTTCCTCCTGAACATCTTTGTACTATTTAGAAAAACCTAGAAAGCATGCTGGAAAACTATCCCTTTTTCCCTTGTCAACCTCCAATTAACACAAAAGCCCAAACTGTACACTGTCCCTTATAAAAACAACCTAAAATTTTGAGAATAACATTCATAATCTTAAAAGAAAATTACCTACTTACTACATATGCTGGCAATGTACTTGCTGGGCAATCCCACTTGAAATTCATAGAAATTAAACAGCATTTCAGAACATCATTCCAACACCTAATTAATGACAGGGAGTGACTGCTGACTAAAGAATGTGTCCATGATACTTTCAATTTATAGCAAAAACTCTTAACTATTGATAGCAGAAATGTGATATATAAGGATCTTGTTCTGTCCTTTCAAAAGTCAAACAGAACCACTGTCCCTTAAAGCTGATCGGCAAAGGAAGAAGCTGGGAGTCCAAAGGATTTATTTATACAAAATATGTATTTCCCTAATGTTCACTTTCCAACTTTGATTAGACATTTTTTTTTTTTTTTTTTTTTTTTTTTTAGCGATGGGGCTGTATTAGTCAATTCTCACACTGCCATAAAGAAATACGCAAGATGAGGTAATTTTTAAAGAAAAGAGTAATTGGCTCAAAGTTCCATAGGCTGTACAGGAAGCATAATGCTGGCATCTTCTCGGCTTCTGGGAAAGCCTCAGGAAGCTCAAAATCATGGTGGAAATGAAGGGGGAGCAAGCATGTCATGTGGCCAGGGCAGGAACATGAGAGAGAGAGTGGGAGGTGTCAAACACTTTTAAGCAACCGTATCTCATGAGAATACACTCACCATCTGAAGACAGCACCAATGGGATGATGATAAACCACTCGTGAGAAATCCACCCGCATGCTCCGATCACCTCCCACCAGGCCCCACCTTCAACACTGGGAATAACTTAACCGGGCGTGATGGCAGGTGCCTGTAATCTCAGCTACTTGGGAGACAGACGTTGCAGTGAGCTGAGATCGTTCCACTGCACTCCAGCCTGGGTGACAAGAGTGAAATTCCGTCTCAAAAACAAACAAACAAACATTGGGGATTACATTTCAATATGAGATTATGGCAGGGACAAATATTCAAACTATATCAGGGGTCTCGCTCTGTCTCCCAGGCTTCAGTGGCACCATCGTAACTCACTGCAGCCTGGAACTCCTGTATTCCGGCGATCCTCCCACCTCAGCTTCCCCAGTAGCTAGGACTACAGTTGCGCCACCACATCTGGCTCATTTTTGTAGAAATGGGGTCTCCTTATGTTGCCTGCTTTGGTCTCAAACTCCTGGCCTTAAGTGATCCGCCCATCTCGGCCTCTCGGAGTGCTGGGATTACAGACGTGAGTCACTTTGCCCTCCCGGACTGGTTTTATGTGTGAAGGAGGCTGCTGCTGATTTCATGAGTAAGCTGGAGAAACACATTAAGGAATGATACTGTCCCCTTAGTTGTCAACCTTCAAAATAGGAAACAAATAATAGCAAAGAGGTAAACGTGGCAGAAAGCAGGGGTGAGAAAGGGAACAATCAGATATGCGAAACATCAAAGAACAAGAAATAGCAACAAACCCACGCCAGAAGCCAGCAAGAAAAGGAGAACTGTTATAAGTACCAGTAAAAATGCTGAAGAATGGCAATAAAAAGGAGAAAAAAGTACTCACAAGGGAGGCCTTGAAATGACAATAATCTATTCCAGGATGAAAAGAAAAGGAAACACTACTCCAAGGCAAAAAGAAAATAAAAAGTAAGGAAAATCAAGATAGATGAATATCTTCAAAAAATCAGCACAATGGAGATAGAGTGTTTAGGGAATAAGAAAAAAAATAAAAGTAGACAGATACAGAAAGAAGTAGCAAATGCAAGGAGCAATATCCCTATTATTAATGCTGGCAAATTGTACTTATATCTCTTTCCAGCTATATAGCATGTTCCTGGGAAATAGCCTAAAGCACTGAGAATTAGGGATAGGAGAATGCTGTTACTGTGAGAATACGAATTAAGTAATGCCAGAGAAAGGCTTTGCTGCCAATATAATAGCTGAGTGATCAGGCCACGTCATTTCTGTCTGATGTTTCTTCCTGTCGAATAGGTAATAGTATTATTTCTCTAACTCAAGGGACATTAAAAAAATATTCAGTTAATGTATATATAAATGGAGACAATATAGACAGATGTTTAAGAATATTTTGGTTAAAAGGACAGACTCAAAGCCAAACTTTCTGGGTTGGAAATCCAACTCTTTCATTTTCTCTCAGTACTGTACTGTAGGACTCTCTTTTTATACACTTTTTTTGTACTGTCTTTTTTATACACTGACTCTCTTTTTTCCTTAGTTTCTTCATCTGAAAAATAGAGTTAATAATAGCACCTACCTCATAGGATTGCTGAGATGAGAAAATTAACAAATAAAAATCACTTAGACCAGTACCTATCACATAGCAAGGAAAATCTCAACTATATTCATTGTGGTGATGTTTTGTTAATAAACTTTTAATATGAATGTAACATATCACATTCATTAATATATAGGAATTATATTTACTTACATTGATAAAAGTCCTATCTGACATCATCTTCTGTTCCTTCATTATTTTTCCCTTCTTCCTCACTTTTTCAGTTCTGTCTCTCTTGGTTCATTCCAAAAAAGGGTCATTTCTTTTTTGCCTCAACTGCAGAATGCATATTATTTATCAAGCAATTATTGAGCACTTACCATATACAGGCACTGTTAGAAAGACATCTAAGGCACAATTTTTTAGTGTGCTGAAATAGTTATTCATTCAGCAAAAGAAGGAGCTCATAAAAATAAAAAAGAAATGCTATGGGTAAATATAAGAACATGGTGATTTCACTTGGTCCTCTTGGATGTAAAAGGAAGCTTTACCAAAAATGTTAAAATAATAATTGATGGTTGCAGTGCTGCTGAATTACATCAAACTTTCTATTGTCTCACATTTCACTTTCTAATTTGTCCGTTCCTAGTGAAACTAGAAGCTGAAACCACATTTTTACTCATTTCTCCCGTTATCCTCCCCCCACCACTATAAAAAGAGAACATTTATGCTTAAGTGCTTCTGATGATGTGTTCTCAGTATCTCATTCTGTTAGACTAATAGTCCTCATGCCAAGTTAAAGTGGTTGGAAATCCTAGCACACCTTGCCTAAGTGTGTTTTATTTATCTTGCTACACCCCGTTTTATTGTAATAGTCTTGGGAGAGCCCCGAAAGATGGCATTGACCTATTTCTATAAACTTTAAGGGAGCAGGGGACGATCTCCCTCCATAACAAATTCCAATAAATGATGAGGTTAAAAATTATAGAAAGGATATTTCTAGAGAGGTATTTTTATGTGATAAATTTTAATATATATGTATATAGTTTTTAAACTTGAATATATAAAATATATACTAAACTTGTATATTTATATATGTATTAAACTTGTACCACTTAAAAATTCTTCTGTAGAAATATCTTTTCTATAATTTTTAACCTCATCATATATAATGATGGTAATTCTTCGTACTTCTTACTCCTAATTGTCTTAGTTCAATTGGGCTGCTATAATAAAAATATCATAGACTGTGTAATTTATAAACAACGAAGATTTATTGCTGCAGAACTGTTTCTGCAGCCCAGGAAATCCAAGATCAAAATGTTGGCAGATTTGGTGTCTGGTGAGGGTTCTGTCTGCTTCACAGATGGTGCCTTCTTCCTTTACCCTCACATACTGGAAGGGCAAACAAGTTCCCTTGGCCTCTTTTATAAGGGCACTAATCCCATTCATGAGGGCTCCGCTTATATGACCTAATCACCTTCTTAAAACCCTACCTCTTAATACTGTGGCATTGGGGATTATGTTTCTACATATGAATTTTGGAGGGACACAAATATTCAACCCATAGCACTAATGAAATACAGCATTTTTAGAGAGCAATGTCTACTATTTTACAGGCAGCTTGCTACTCGTGATGACAATACTTCTTCGATCTAGTATCCCAGCATTGTTCCATTAACAATGTATGCATCTTACCAATGTAATGTTCAGTAAATATTTTGCATATTTTAAGAGGAATCTGTTGTGGTTTTTTTTTTTTTTTTTTTTTTTTTTTTGAGACGGGGTCTCACTCTGCCACCCAGGCTGAAGTGCATTGGCTTAATCACAGCTCACTGCAGCCTTGCCCTCCCAGACCACAGGTGCGTGCCACCACGCCTGGCTGATTTAAAAAAGAAATTATTTGTAGAGACAAGGTCTCACTACGTTGCTCAGGCTGGTCTTGAACTTCTGGGCTCAACCACCCCTCTGGCCTTGGCCTTCCAAAGTGCTGGGATTACAGGCATGAGCCACCAAACCCAGCCTGATTTTTTATAATACAAAATAATATACACTCACTGCCAAAAGTAGAATACAGAAAAACACAATAAAGGTAATAGTTGCCTATAATTTTGCTATTCAGGAATAACCAGTGTTACCTGTTTGGCACAGACATTCCTATTGAGAACTATATAATGATAGCTAATATTTACTAGCACTTGGTACATACCCATGTTTCAATTACCTTATATGTTAAATATTATCCATTTATGCCTGAAAATAATTTTATAATATAAGTACTGTTATTAGACCATTTTAAAAATGTGAAAATTGGTGCAATAACAAGATGCATTAACTTGTTCAGGGTCACAATGCCATTATAAAATGGAGCCGGAATTCTAAACCAGGCATTCAGGCTCCAGAGCCTAGGTTTTTAACCACTAAGAATAATACATTTTAGTATTTTAGCATACACATAGTTTTGGAAGCTGCTTAATTCACTTAATATATCATATGGTTTTCCAACGTAGTTAAATATTCCATAAGAATGTGATTTTTTTATGTCTGCATATAAATATATTAATAGGATGTACCAGAATTGTTTTCATTTCTATTTCATGAATATTTAGTTTGCTTCTAATTTTTCACAATAGAAATGATCTAGCATATTTTATAAAATTTTTGAGCAGATGTACAAGTATTTAGAGACTAGTATTTGTTTAAATAACACGTGTTGGACGTTAGTGGGGTATATATCAATGTGAAACATGAAGTAGATGTTTGCTTTGTGGTAACTATGTTCCAGGAACAGTGCTAGGAAGCACTAGGGACTGGAAAGCTGTAAAAAAGCCAGTCTTTCTGTTCTTAAATATCTTATAATCTAATGGAGAGAGAAACCTGTAGAATAGTGCGTTTCAGTAGAAGCAAGCTTAGTGTACTGAGAAATGAAAGGCAGATGATGAAGTTTGGACAATGGATGGAAACTATCTTATCAAGAGTTGGGGTTATAAGAATGACAGTAGGTGATATGAAGAAACTAGTGTTTTAAGAAGATATATGTGGCAGCATTATAGACATATGGGGATTTAGAACAGGATTATACCTACTGAACTGGACTTATTTTATTTCTAGAAATTTTGTGATAATAAATACCATACATTATATGTTGTTCTCATATAGGAGACGTAATATATGGGTATGCCATTAATCAAAGGCTGATTTTAAGTGGAAGAATTCGTTCTGTTGGTTTACAGTCCCAGTTATAAATTAATGGGCTTACCACGTAGTTGTTCCCAGATCTTGGAAGTATTGAAGTTTTTTAAAAATTAATTAATTTATTTTTAACTGACAAATAATAGTTGTACATATTTACCGAGTACAACGTGATGTTTTTGATCTATGTGTATGTTGTAGAAAGAGTCAGTCGAGCTGACTAACATATCTATCACCTCACCAACTTATCATTTTTTGTAGCGAGAACATTAAAAAATCTATTCTTTTAGCAATTTTGAAACCTATAATACATTATTTTTAACTGTGGTCACTGTGAGGTGTTGAATGTTTTAGGAAATTCTCAGATAATCTCAGGGCCAAGTGTTAAGCAGATCATTCTCTGAGACTGGATCTTCTGCAGTATGTCTGCGAACTTTTTTATTTCACTCTAAGCCTTTGTTGTTGCCTTCAGGGGTTACTGACTCACGTTTAACTCAAGGCTGACTGAGTTAGATATATACCGCCTATAGTTGATGGGTTTTGTTGCCAGAAATATTCTTTTGCTTATCAGTGGGGAAGGTTTTTGCTTCTACTGCTGGATTTAAAGGTGTCCCTCAAGATTCCATTACTCAGTTCATTGAGAAAAGCTTAAAGCTAACGGAGGGGAGTTCTGAGCTCTGTTTGATGAAGGAGGCTGGGTAAAATAATAGCTCCCAAGTTGGCTCAAGTTCTTCCAGATGTTCATGTTTATGTAAAACTTAACACTTAGAGATATTCCATGTTGTAAGATGTCTGTGCAAAAGTTCCTTATATCAAATTCTAAAATGATTTTTGGTCATCAGGTGCAAAAATTAACACTAATCATCTAAAATAACCAACCAGATAGATTTTCATTCTGTTTGACTTTTGAAAGCAAATACCCCTATGATATTGAGTGAGTGTTTTATTGTTTGATTTTCCTTCAAACTTGCTGTAACCCTATGGGAAAGATATGCAATCAAAATAAAAGAACAGTATCCAAAAATAAATGGGTCATGAAGAATTGTGCTTAAAATCGTTAAGTAAACAGACACACACCACAGTGATGAGATTGTAGAAACTGGAAAAAATGCTGCCAGCTGAAGAGCTGCAAAGAGTTTGGCTTTTCATGAACTTAGTTACTGAAATGAAAGTTCCTCCCTAGGAGAGAAGCCAAAATCATAGCACGGTTTGAATAAAAGTACACCTTTCCAAAGTTACTGCAGAACAATTATGGCCGGGATCCTTTACTCTTATTGAGAAAGCTCGGTAACCTCTTATTTTAAATTGACTTCCATTGAGCAATAATGCCTCCCTGCTTGCACTGTAAGGTACTTTATTGGGTAATGTGTTTACAAGCTGGTCTCATTTTTCTTTTTGTAATAGGAGATGGGTAGCTTACTGCTATTTGGAGGTGACTCCAGGAAACATGATTTTCAAGATGGTCATTTTAAAAAATTGTGATTATTGGGAATAATAACTCTAGAGACAAGATTTAATGGACTTACTTCCAATTTATTCAGTATGTCACCAGGTTATTGCAGTTCTAGTTTTAAATCTGTACATTCGAAGTCTACGTTGTTCCCTGATGTACTGTATATTTAGGTTTGTACTACTACATATAGGTGCTAGGTTTAGCTCCAACTCTCAGCAGGAGCCTAACCTCTCAGAACAATTATTGTAGCCAGATCTTTGGTGGCCCTACTACTTGC
This sequence comes from Homo sapiens, assembly GCF_000001405.40. NCBI lineage: Eukaryota > Metazoa > Chordata > Mammalia > Primates > Hominidae > Homo > Homo sapiens. The sequence continues at coordinate 33,133,134 of NC_000023.11, read as the reverse complement.
TTTTTTTTTAACCACTACTATTTCTTTAAAATCAAAGATATGGCAAACATATTACTAAAAGGAAGAAAACCCATCTTCAACAACATTATGGTGTTTTTCACTTCAAAGGCTTATTTTGTATGCATCATTTGATTTAATTTCCTCCAAAGCCTTGGGAAATGTGAGTGATTATCATCTTATTATTGTTGTTGATAAATAGTAGCTACTATTTATTTAGCACTAACTCTGTATCTGGAACTGTGGTAAACACCTTGTAGTGGAAACTAACAATAGCCTCAGGAGGCTGGAATTGATATTATCCCCATTTTACAGACAACGAAATGTGATATAAATAACATAACGTGCCAAGATTATGCAGCTAGTACATAGGAGAACTGGAATTCAAGCCCTAGTTAAATTGCTTTGACTTCGGAGCCTGAGTGTTGATTGTCTATGGCATGTTGCCAAGCTATTTTATAGCTGGAAAGCCTGGTGATGCTAAAAGTTTAAATACCTTGCCCTAGGTCATAAAATTAGTTCCCAATGCCTTCCAACTGAAATCCCAAACATTTTTTATTACACTTTGTTGTCCGCAGGACTGCTACCCGCTTATATGGTACTCTTTGAAAATTAAACAAAGAGGCATCCTCCCCACTTCCCAAATCCACAGAATAGCCAATTTTGAAAGAAAGCACGCTTTTTTTTCAGTATGACTCTGCTTTATTGGAGGATCACAGGGATGGCTGGGGGGAATGTGGGTATGATACTCAAGCACCTTTGTGCAAGGTGCAATGCCCAGAGCCATAAGGAGTGGCCCCAGTTGTGCTCATTTAAAGGAATAGTTGGACAATTCTAGATAATATTAAGGGAGATATCCAAAAGAGTTTCCTATAAGTATGTGCTCTTAAGAGCTGTAAGGAAGTAAAATTTTGACCCCATTAGTTACATTTCTAACATGATCTAACATCTTCCCTTCACTGCCAACGAAAATGTTTAAGAAGATATAATCTGACAGCAGTTATGCTAAAACTCCCCTGAAGCCAAAATGTGTCACTTCTCAAAATGACCCTCATCTTCACAAGCCCTTGAAGAGGAGTTGAGGATTATTTATGAACTAGGTTTTAACCTAAGGTGATACATTGTGCTGCAGTTGTTACTGAGCTTAGGGATCATTTTGTCTATTCATTTCAGGTTACCATTAGGTTCTTTTTCAAAATCAATTCCTTTTAATTATACAGCTACCCTGGGCATATATTAAATGTCTTACAACATTGATACGCTTTCCCCTGAAGTACTGACAAAGTAATAGATTTAATGCGCAACCACAGGCATAAAAACCCACACACAGTGTAAGCATACAATGAGTACACTGATACTCACAAAAGAGGTTTAAAAAAATGTCTGTAACTGGGGATGTGGTGGTGTGAGGGCCCCATGAATTTTTAGCTTGGAGGATATCTTATCGTACCGATGAACCCTGAGGATATGCATGAAAACAAGCTCCTACTCACAACTTTTTTTGCCTGAATGGTAAGTTTGTCTGCAGGGCTTGGTCTGATTGATTTGAAGGAGCATGGTCTAGAAAGTGGTTCTCAAACTGTTGGATAACAGAATCACCTGGGGGGTCTACCTAAATGTGCAAAGGCCTAAGTCTTATCACTGCTTTAATGAATGTAGGTCTCTGGGTTTATAATGAGCTCGTCAGTTGATTCTGATGAGCACCTAATTTGATAACAACATGTCAATGGGTACAGATTCTCAAACTTGGCTGTTCATTAGAATTGCTTGAGTCTCATTTCTAGAGACTCTGATTTCATTGATATGAAGTGCAGTTTGGGCACTGGGTTTTTTTCTTAAAGAAGTTCTTCAGGGGATTCTAATATCAGCAAAGTTGGAGAACCACGGGTCTAGGGGCCTCGCTACCCGATGTGTTGTCCAAAGACCACCAGCAGCAGCAGCAGCCGCAGCAGCCCCAGGGAACTTATTGGAAATGCAGAATCTCAGGTCCCACCTAAAATTACCGAATCAGAACCCGTATTTTACCAAGATACCCAGGTGGTTTGTATGCCCATTAACTCTTGACACACACTTGTTTAGGGAGTCAGGTAGAGCTGGATTCTTAAGCACTTCCGGTTAGTTGGATGACTGAAAAACCTCTCTGAGCTCCAATCTCCTCACCTGTAAAACGAGTTTAAGGAATAACATTACCAATATTGCAGGTTTGCTGAGAAGATTCTTGAATGCAATACCTGAAACTCAGTTTAATTCCTAGAACAGTGAAAAGCCTCATTAAATATGAAGTCCCGGCCAGGCGCTGTGGCTCACGCCTGTAATCCCAGCACTTTGGGAGGCCGAGGCAGGCGGATCACCTGAGGTCGGGAGTCCGAGACCAGCCTGACCAACATGGAGAAACCCCGTCTCTACTAAAAATACAAAATTAGCTGGGCGTGGTGGCGCATGGTAGTCCCAGCTGCTCCGGAGGCTGAGGCAGGAGAATCGCTTGAACCCGGGAGGCAGAGGTTGCGGTGAGCCGAGATCACGCCATTGCACTCCAACCTGGGCAACAAGAGCAAAACTCCGTCATATATATATATATTTATATATATATATAGTCCCTACTAGAAGAGAGTCCCTGTGAACCTTTTTTTACACTAGTGGCCCCAGAGCTAATGAGGCCAAGCCCCACCAATGATCGTCGTCACAGACATTCCTGTTTTTCTGATATTTATAAAGGTTCCTTTTAGGTATGAGGTGATTTTTATTCAAAAGAACAAATGTTCCCAGATGCCAAGTGTCTTCCGCTAAAAGGATAAATGATCAGAAAGCAATCCTTAGCTACAGTGTCCTTGAAGGTGCATTGTGGAATCTTGCACTGTTGTGCAATTGTGAACAACTTCATCAGACAGTACTGCGTATTTGTACTGTGTTATCCTTAATTTTTCCCTTTAGATCTTAATTTGTTATTTATTTCTTCCCTGGCCAAGAGCTAATTTCTTTACAGAAACTCATATATAGGGTTCCTTTTTTCCTCCTCAAGTCAGTAACTTCTGCAATTAACTACTTTTTTCTTAATTTCTCTAACTTTGGCCCAACTAAATATTTTCCCATCATTCCTGTTTTGCCGCCCTCGAGCTAGGACATGGAACTTACTTGTTCGGAAAAGCTTCTATCTGATTGAAAGGGCATGCTAATTCTTTCTTTATAGTGTAATTGTTTCACATTTAAGAGGGAAGGAGAAACGCCTAAAGTAATACCACAGAAGAAATACCCTCAACTAATCTTTCTAAGCAGTACGACAATGAGTAATGATTACAGTTAATTAAGTTAGGCAACCTCCATTTCCATTCACTTAGTAGCACTGCTAATTATACTCATGCTACAAGGTTTCTTTAGTTCTTCTGTAATTTGGATGCAGTACTCTTTGTAGACAAGGGAATACGGTACGATTAATGAGATTTTTCCCACCAACACCTCCTGTTCTCTCCAAATGAAATTTCCGCATCTGAAAATTGAGAGTAGGGAACGGAGAAAAAAAAAATCAGTCACATTTTAACTTACTGCCAGCACGGTCCATGCTTATAATTGCCAAATATTTTATATTAAAGAAAACAAGGTGTGGGTTTTTTTTTTTGTTTGAAACCTTGTAAAATTGTGGCTTACGTAAAAATGAAATAAGTATAGAACATGGCTTTTTAAAAATATCAGTGGCAATGATAATGACACTTTATATTGTATGCTTTTGGTCGCATTAAATAAACATATGTTGAGCACATACTGTTTGCCGGGCACTGGATCTACTAAAAAAAAAAAAAAAAAAAAAAAAAAAAAAAGCAAACCTTAACTGTAACTCTGGATTTCTTTTACATGAACTTCAATCATTTTAACAACTTACTCTAAAGAAAACCAAGAACTGCAGCTCTACTTGGTTATATTGTTAATGAAGTCCTTGGAAAAATTTAGTTTATATGCTTTGATCAGATGGGGATTGACATACTTAAGAGTTTTATTTTTAATCTGAAAATCCACTTCAATCTTATGCTCTGGGTAAACAGTCATTACAGAAGCCTGACACAATTCTGTTTTTTCAAGAAGCAGGATTCAAGGTTTAACTTCAAATACAAATTTGAGTAAGTTATACGGATTATTCCTTTTAATTCTTTTTTTAAAACACAGGGTTTATGTGGATGAAGTTTCGTTCTTAATCTCCATTTGCCTTAAGAATTAACTTCTGCATTGTGGTTTAGATTGAGTTTAAGATTGTTTCAGATTTTAAAATGTATTTTTAAAGGTGTGTCTGGAGGAAGATATTTGTATGTCAAGCACTGTTGGTTTTCATAGGAAGTTCAAATGTGTTTTCAGCAGCACTGGACGTTTTTAGAGTTATTTTCTTCTCCTAGCATCACACAGGTGCGCAACTTTATAGGTCCAGTCTCTTCTTTTTGCTTCCTTCTCTGCTTCTTTTTCTTTTTCACTAACACCAGTTTGCATAAATGAGTGCACTGTCGAGTTCACGTGAATACCAGACAAAAATACAGGTGTCTTCATAATAATCAGCTCCTCTAAGTCTACTTTCCAGTTTCTGCTTCAGACTCAGATAAATCCTATATAAAGCAGACGACACAGTTATTTCTAGAGGAACTGAGGTTACTGATTAGAAGGGAACGTAATCAGGTAGATTGAGCCGGTGAGGGAAGAAACCATTGCTGTGAGAGGGGAGTGTTTGCAAAATGCTGTCTGTGAAGCTGAATCTGTGAGAACACCTCACTATTCACGGCAACCGGAGTGGAAGAAACAGGTGCAAAAAGATTGTGTGTTTGTCTGCTTTTGTGAGGCTGGTCAGAGATTCTGTGCCTGCTTTATCTGTGCTTGGCTATGACTCTACCTCCAGGTTTACCATACCCCATAGAATGTGTAAGAGAAAAGTACCAACAGGGAAATCAGCAAAAAGCTTTCCTATGAAGGTGTGTAGCCAGCCTCCGCAGAATTTGAAATGTCTGAGGTCTCATCTGGTGAGTAAAAGCTGCAGATAAATGCAACAGCCATTCAGAAGAATGATAAATTCCACAAGCATTCAGAAGCAGGCTTCCCTAAAGGTGACTCTTTTGGTCAATTTGCAACCCCTGGGATATATTTGGATGACTCCTGTTCCATATGCCTTTCTATAAAAGTTAAATTGGGGCTTTTGTTGTGAGGAAGGGAAGAAAGGGGTTTGACACCAATAACCTATAGGATAATGCAAATCACTGAAATAAGAAGGAACCCATATTCTACTTTTTGGGTTGTGGCTTTAATGAACTTTGTCTTCAGGTATCTAAAATTATTTCTAGTATGAAGAAAAGAAAAAAATATCCAGACCTTAATCTATAAACGATAATATTTTTACCTCAAATTAAATTTCTAAGGACGTAGACTACATTCATAAACTCATTAGAAAACTAATGAGGGATTTTTATATTAACAATAGAAAAACCTGTGTTTCACATATATATATGGGCTTATTTATGCATATATGTACATATGAATATGTGTATGTGTATATATATACATACACATATACACTCACATTTTTAAGAAGTTTTTAATCAAAGAAGACGGAAATAACAAGGATCCTTGTGAATAGTAATTTAGACATGTTTAGACAAGCACAACTTATTAGGAAGCAAACTGGGACAATTGTAAACAGTAATTCCAGGCTGCCTAATTATCTGAAATATCTCAGAATGATTTTAGAGGTTAAACACTTATTATTAAATGGTAGCTTCTAAATAAAGTGAAAAGGTGTAGTGATTTATCAGGTTTTTTTTTAATTATAGAATATCCTAAAATTCTAAATTAGCATATATTCTGTTGCCAATATATACTGTCAGTATATTTGAAGTATATTAATTTCTAAATTATGTTACTTTTATTAAAATTCCAAAGAGTTTCTGACTTGGACAAGTTTTCTCTATCTTTAGGAAGACAGCTAGTTTTTTTTTCAGGGGGGTGAGCTAAAAGAGTTAGGATAAAGTACACCGCATTAAATTAAAAACGTGTGTTGGGAATAAAGACAATCCAAAGTTAAAAGTCTATTTGGATCTCAAATTTTCCCATAACTTGATTTGTAAGAAAAGTTACCCTTTTGCAAGTCTTCTCTCTCATTTGGTCTGGACTAAGTGGTTGTCATTTCTCACTTACAGATTGCTGTTTTACTAATCTCTTTATAAATATATTTTTTAATTTTATATCTGTATTTTATTCATCAGATTGTCCTGGAAGTACAGAGGCCAGTTGATGGTTTATGAGTTCAAGCTGAGCCGAATATAGCTAAGCCCTGTCTTGCCTGACATTTCATCAAAAGCTGTGTTGATTTGCAATGTTTACCGACCTATTTATTGAACCTTCACAGCTTGAACTATGCCACCAAGCTCGCTGACATTGCTGAGATTATCTCTAAATGCATGTACAAACTAAGGAGGAAATTGAAAAATAAGTTAAAAACAATCATCCGTCTATTTATTAAATTATGCTTATAGAGTCCTTGATTTATGTATTTGTTTGATTGTTCTCCGCAAAGCCCCATGACCTGATTTTTCTTTGATCTTCCCACACACTCTTGGAAGACGATAGATTAGAACAGTGGTTCTCACTCTTCCTTGAGTGGGCATCAGATTCACCTGGAGGGCTGGTTAAACCACAGCTTGCTGGATGCCACCCCCAGAGTTTCTGATTCAGTCCTTCTGAAGTGGGGCCCCAACCTCTGCATTTTTAACAGATTTTTTAGGAGATGCTGATGCTGCTAGATTACTAAGAACAGAAAATGAGTGTTCTAATACAAAGAGCAGAAAATAATTGTTCTTAATCTAGTTACCTGTGTTCTCTTTATGCGTTGTTTAGTTTACACTGTACAAGAAAATAAACACATATCCTCACAAAATTGAAGCATATATTCTACTAAAGATTAATATATTAAAATATTGAATAAAATATTAAATATCTATGTTAGGAAATTGTATTCCTGCTGAAACTGGCAGTAAAATTACTTAAATTACTTAGCAGTAAAATTACTGTTGACAAAAGTAAACAATTGGTCATTAGGTCTCAAATACGTAAAACCTCAATTTTTTTTTTTTTTCTTGAGACGGAGTCTCGCTCTGTCACCCAGGCTAGAGTGCAATGGCACGATCTCGGGTCACTGCAACCTCCACCTCCCATGTTCAAGTGATTCTCCTGCCTCAGCCTCCCAAAACCCTCAATTTTTAATTACTCCTTTGATTCTTATTCTCTGCGATTTCTCCCTATGTAAAGTTTTAGTCTATTATATTTTTAGTAAAATGAAAGCATGATCCATGAGATAAGCACTTGAATCTATACTATACATCAAAGTCTCCCCTTTTGGGCCATTAAAACTAAGATGTTTTCCAACTTACCTTACCAAAGCCACAGTTTGAAAACTGAAACTATGAAAAAACTGGATATTTTGCTTAATTATAATGCTTCGTAAAAAATTAGAACGTCTTTAAAAATGTTAACAACTAAAGTCAAACATTCAAAAATTATAACCTTTGCTATAAAGTTATATGTTCATTCATTGTAGTCACTTTCTTTTAGTAAAATGTAAGCTTTTGATGTATTCTAATGGGGCGCAACGTTTAGATTAAATGTTTAATATGGATAATTGACTTTTAATGAAATTTAATCTAGATGTTCGTAACTGAGAGTTAGGGGTGAACATGCCTTTAAGGATGTAGACATTTTTATTACAATTATTTTCTCCATGTTTTTGATTAAACATATCAAGGAAATATATATTATTTTTTATTTAACTTTTCTAATGTATTAATTTTTGGCCAGTCCTACCTATCACATGCTTCAGCAATAATCAGAGCTTTGATGACAATGTCACATTATTTTAATTCAGATGTTATTCCAGTTTGATAAGATGGAGCTGATCTTTAGAAAACAAGTGTACCATATTTCTAATCTTTAAATATTATATTGAATTATTTCAGCCTGGCTCACTTGCCAGTTTTTCCCTTTTGTTTTCATGATTAAAGCAACTGATAATTATTAACATAGATAAGATTTATGACATTAATTTATGGTTTTCTTCATAAAAATAAAGCCTTTTTTTTTTTTTTTTTTTTTTTTTTAGATGGACTTTCGCTCTTGTTGCCCAGGCTGGAGTGCAATGGCGAGATTTAGGCTCACCGCAACCTCCGCCTCTTGGGTTCAAGCAATTCTCCTGCCTCAGCCTCCCGAGTAGCTGGGATTACAGGCATGCACCACCACACCAAGCTAATTTTGTATTTTTAGGAGAGACGGAGTTTCTCCATGTTGGTCAGGCTGGTCTCGAACTCCTGACCTCAGGTGAGCCACCTGCCTCTGCCTCCCAAAGTGCTGGGATTACAGGCGTGAGCCACCGCACCCAGCCAATAAATCCATTCTTAACGGAATTTTAGAGCATAAATCTGAGAAAAGAAACTAAGGCTGTACGTACTAGGTCTCCTATACACCTTGTCTTTCATCATTGAATCCTTAGTAGTTAATACCTGCTTGGAATGTAATGGGAATTCAATAAATTAATTAAATAAATGGATGAGTGAATCCTACAGACAATTTTGCCAAGGAAGAAAATAAAGACAGGGTATTTTTATTTCTTTCGGTTTTTTTTTTTTTTTTTTTTTTTTTTTTTTTTTTCAGACAGAGTCTCCCTCTATTCGCCCAGGCTGGAGTGCAGTGGCACGATCTCGGCTCACTGCAACCTCCGCCCTTCAGGTTCAAGTGATTCTCCTGCGTCAGCCTCCCGAATAGCTGGGACTACAGGCGCCTGCCACCACGCCCAGCTAATGTTTGTATTTTTAGTAGAGCCGAGGTTTCACCATGTTGGCCAGGCTTGTTTCTAACTCCTGACCTCGTGATTCGCATGCCTTGGCCTCCCAAAGTGCTGGGGTTACAGGCGTGAGCCACCGTGCCTGGCCAGGGTATTTTTATTTTTATTTTATTTTTTTGAGACAGCGTCTCCCTCTGTCGCCCAGGCTGAAGTGCAATGGCACTATCTGGGCTCACTGCAACCTCCGCCTCCTGGGTTCAAGCAATTCTTCTGCCTCAGCCTCCCAAGTAACTGGGATATAAGCATTCGCCACTACGCCCAGCTAATTTTTTTGTATTTTTATTAGAGACAGGGTTTCACCATGTTGGCCAAGCTGGTCTCTAACTCCTGTCCTCAAGTGATCCGCCCACCTCGGCCTCCCAAAGTGTTGGGATTATAGGAGTGACTCACAACGCCCAGCCTTTTATTTCAATTTTTACTGCTGTTTGTTTTCTTCCAAATGAATAATAAATATGACATTTTATTCTGATAGCTATTAGATTATGAATTGAATGTGAGAACAAAAGGCATTCTGGTTTTCGTTTGTTTTAATATTGGACTGAAAAAAAAAAAAAAAAACTCATTTGAACCGGGCGTGGTGGCTCATACCTGTAATCCCAGCAATTTGGGAGGCTGAGGTGTACAGATCACTTGAGGTCAGGAGTTTGAGACCAGCCTGGCCAACATGGCGAAACCCTGTCTCTCCTAAAAATACAAAAATTAGCCAGGTTGTGGTGGCAGGTTCCTGAAATCCCAGCTACTCGGGAGGCTGAGGCAGGAGAATTGCTTGAACCCGGGAGGCGGAGGTTGCATTGAACCGAGATCGCACCCCTGCACTCCAGCCTGGGCGACAGAGGTAGATTCTGTCTCAAAAAAAAACAAAAGAAAGTAGAACAAAAACTCATTTGAGACTTTCAGGATACAATAATTTGTTTACCTTTTCAGTTTTCTGATTCCTCATGGTGAAGGAATCATATCTCTTCAGTGACACACAAACACACACAGGATATATACAGTTATGTGTTAACACCAGGGATACATTCTGATCAATCCATACTAAGGTAATTTCATCGTTGTGTGAATGTCACAGAGTGTACTTACACTAACCTACGTGGTATAGCGTAGTGCAGACCTAGGTTGTATGGTATATCCTATTTCTGTTTGGCTACAAACCTGTACAGCATGTGACTGTACTGAATACTGTAGGCAACTGTAGCACAATGGTAAATATTTCAATGTCTAAAACATATCTAACCATTAGAAGGTACAGTAAAAATCCCGTGTTATAATCAAATGGGACCACTGCGGTATATGCAGTTTATCATTGACTGAAACATCCTTATGCAGTTCCTATCTTTTCTTTTGGGCCACACTTGGAATTGAAATGGAAGCTGGAGAAAGGAAGAACATGAAATAAACTGATGTTTTTCCAGCCAGTCAAAACTCAGCCTCTGTGTTTTAGAGAAAGCATTCGGAACACAGTTGAGAGAGGGAGAGAAAGAGAAGTGGAAGGTTTAGAGGGAGGTCCCCGCTTGTTTTTATCTCTTCAAGCAGCTCTAAATTTGTCCAAAGCAGAAAAAGTTGTACTTCGCTTCACTCTATATTCAAGACTCAAACCAAGATTAAACATGAACCTGTGGGAAAGTTCTTTTTAATTAAACTCATGTTATTTGAAAATACATTATGGTAAGATATTTTTTTGAAAGTTAAGAGTCAGATTTTGTCTGCATAATGAAAAGTGACTAAGGAGTGCTGAAGTTATCACTCAATTATCAGGAAATCTAGAAAAATTACTTTCCAATAAAAATGAGCATCAATGATTTCTACCACAGCCTTTTGGTTAAAGAGTAATGAGGAGAAATTCTGCCATGTAATTAAAGATAATGAAATTATCAATCAAGGCTAAGCTGCATTAGGTTCTTTGACTAAAATAATTTTATACAATTTTAAGTATAAATTAAGTTAAAATATATACATTGAGTGTGTGCATTAATGTAGACAGTGCCAAATATTCAACAAAATTATTTCACCACCTTTGATTTTTGTTTTTTGTTTTTTGTTTGTTTGTTTGTTTGTTTTTGAGACGGAGTCTCACTCTGTCACCCAGGCTGGAGCTCACTGGTGCAATCTCGGCTCCCTGCAACCTCCACCTCCAGGCTCAAGCAATTCTCCTGCCTGAGCCTCCTCAGTAACTGGGATTACAGGCATGCACCACCGTGCCTGACTAATTTTTATATTTTTAGGAGAGACGGGGTTTCACCCTGTTGGCCAGGCTGGTCTCGAACTCCTGACCTCAAGTGATCTGCCCATCTCGGCCTCCCAAAGTGTTGAGATTACAGGCATGAACCACCATGGCCGGCTGATTTAAGCACCTTTGGAATCATAATTATTAATCATAAATGAAACCAAACTAAAAATAAAGTATACCACATGTGAGAACATTCCAATGAATAAAATCATTTCTGTGTGAGCTAGCCTGCTGTTCAAATTTGTTTATGCTTATGCTTCAGATAATGTTTACAAAAGTACTGACAGATTCCTAGAAGCACAATTTCTAAACACTTACCTTGGAGGTTTCTAGGGCCCTAAAAATATTTCTAGTCATTTCAAAAAACCACAAAACAACTACAAAAAATGTACTTCTCCCAAAGGCCATACGTAGCACATGCAAAAAGAGATTCTGCAGAGCATTTTGGAACGTAAGTAGCTTTTGTGGTTCTGTGTCTCAAATTAGCCTGTTCTTAAAAGTCTGCAAATTAAAAAAGAATGATAGGCCAGGCGTGGTGGCTCACGCCTGTAATCCCAACATTTTGAGAGGCCAAGGTGGGCGGATTACTTGAGGTCAGGATGTCGAGACCTGCCTGGCCAACATGGTGAAACCCCGTCTCTACCAAAAATACAAAAAAATTAACCAGACATGGTGGCATGCGCCTGTAGTCCCAGCTACTAGGGAGGCTGAGGCAGGAGAATCACTTGAACCTGGGAGGCGGAGGTTTCGGTGAGCCAAGATAGTGCCACTGCACTCCAGCCTGAGAGACAGAGGAAGACTCCGTCTCAATAAAAAAAAAAAAAAGAATGATAAATTGAGTCAAAATTATAAAAATTCAACAGACGCTGGCACAGATTTGAGATTTGAGGAACCAGTAAAAAACGTAGTACATATTGATAAATGGCAATGTGGTGTCAAGATATTAAAATTGGTTTTAATCTTATTAACCAACATAAAATATGGAAAACTTATACATTTAAGTGGGCCCAGAAAAAAGTTTGCAAATAGCATTCCAAAAATCGATAGAATAATGTGAATGCTTTGTTTTCTAATCTTCACATAATAGGGTTGGACTAGATGATTTATAAGATCCAGTATATAGCCCCTAATAATAACCCCTTTAAAAAGTCTTTTTTTTTTTTTTTTTTTTTTTTTTTGAGAGAGTCATGCTCTGTCACCCAGGCTGGAGTGCAGTGGCACGATCTCAGCTCACTGCAACCTCCGCCTCCCTGTTTCAAGCGATTCTCCTGCCTCAGCCTCCCGAGTAGCTGGGATTATAGGCACACGCCACCACACCTGGCTAATTTTTGTATTTTTAGTAGAGACGGGGTTTCGCCACGTTGGCCAGGCTGGTCTTGAACTCCTGACCTCAGGTGATCCGCCTGCCTCGGCCTCCCAAAGTGCTGGGATTACAGGCGTGAGCCACTGTGCCTGGCCTAAAAAGTGTTTCAATAGAGGAGAGAAATAAACAAGATCCTGAAGGGATAAGAAGATGTAAAAGTTGTTGCTGATGTTCTGCCGCATATTTCTTTCCCCACCCGAGTTCCATGCAGTATCTTGCTTTGCTATAAACAGGAGTAAGCCAGAAATATGAGGGGTTGTGTTAATGTCACCAGAAGCGACCTTTAACTACGAGGGGATGGAAGTACTTGAAAAAAGCACGCAGCCATCTCATCTTCTGGTGCATAATTCTGAGGCATGTTCCTCACAGCTTCTCAGAGATTCACCAGCAGGACTGAGCCCCAGAATAATGTGCTCATTGACACACCTTTGATTGCCTCCTTACCTTTCCTAATCTCACTTTCTCTTTCCTCTCACTTGTACTTTTTGTAATCAATTGCCAGATAAACTGTGTACCTGCACCTCAAATCCTTGCCTCAGTGTCTGTCTGGGGAGAATCTAAAGTAACACAGAAGGTTAGCGAGAAATTGTTTCACATGCTTAAACAAAACAGGGCAAAGGCACTTAAGATGTTAGAGGGAGGGAGGGTGAGGAAACTCACACGGGATGACTTCACTCTGTTTAGTACCTAAAAGTGAACAGGAGGTGGATCGAAAGGAAACAGTTAGTGAACCTGCAAATCAATAGGAAGGGTTAGAAGACTGGTTATGGGAGATGGACCAGATAGCCCAGTAAGTGAAGAAAAGGCTCATGGAACAGCAGAGAAAATGGACATATATCATCCATATATTTTGTTTCCATCCTAGTCTAATTTACCCTTAGATACTACAATAATCCCCCAACTCATCTTTGCCACTTGTGCTTTTGTCCTTTTCTACTCACTCCATACTCTACATGGCCTAAAGGTTGAGCTTTTAAAAACATAAACCAGGTTGTGTCAATCTCTGATTAAAATTCGTTACTGCTCTGATGCGTCCAATATCTTTACCAAGAACCACACTTCATTTTTCTTCCTTTTCTTCTGCAGTCTTGCTGCATTTCAGCCATACTGACCTGCTGCCATTTCTCAAATGCCAGTCTCTGTACTGCTATTGCCTCTTCCTGGAATGCTCTCCTCATCCATCCTCTAACTGCCTTGATCGCCACTGAATATACACTAACATGCATATTGTCAGTCACGCAGTAGTAGCTTAATATGTATTTGCGGAATAAACTAATGGGAAAGAGTAACAGCATGGTTCAGTTGATGGTGGATAATAGTGATTTACTGAGTCACAAACAACATCATCTGATGCCTTAGCAAAGAGGAGTAGGTATTGGAGAAAGAAGACAATACTTACAATTCTTTACTTCCTTGAGCTCATTTTATATGTGTGTGTGTGTATATATATATATAAAACATATATATGACATATATGACATATTTTTGACATATGTCATGTTATATGCCTCCTTCTCTATTATATATACAATGTGTTCAAGGAAGTAAAGATGTTCAATAAAGTTCAAGGAAGTAAAGTCTAAGGTGTCTTTGTATGTAGCACTGAAGTGATCAGTCAGAGTCCAGGCTTGGCTGGATATCGAACAGTGGATGTGTGAAGTAGAAGTGAGTGATGCCAATTTTAAAGATAATGAGCAGTTTAGTAGGCAAGGATTTAGTGTCAGATATGGAGGTTGTGGTTGGCAGTAGTAGTAGTTGTACTGGGAAGCTCTTCCACAGTGGTGAAGAAGCATGCTGAGAAAGGCCAAAAAGTCAAAGTAGCATCTTGCTGTGGATAAGGAGATTGGCATAAATGGAGTAAAAGTTGAGGGTGAAAAGTGATGTGAGACAAGGACAAATAGACAAGTTGGCTTGGCTAATGTAATACCCATGATGTAAGAAAAGCTATGCTGAGATAGCTAGGCTAATTCCAAGGGACTTTTGAGGGGAGCATATCAGGTTATCACATGCCAAAAATGTTTCATTTCAGAGACTTTAGTCTTCTCATTAATTTTATCGCTAATCCATTCATTTTCAAAATGTATTTCAGGATTTCACATCAGGTCGACTTTAAATCTTTTGTTCAGATGAACGTTTCTTTTCCTAGGACTGAGTAAGACAGTTTGTCCTATCCAGTGCTTAAGAGTAAAGCAAGCTTATGTTGCCACTGCAGGCAGGATTATTAAATAACCAATTACTATTCAGACTGTGTCACATCCCTTTAAATTACTCAAGCAAGAGTCTTGGCCGGGCGCGGTGGCTCACGCCTGTAATCCCAGCACTTTGGGAGGCCGAGGCGGGCGGATCACGAGGTCAGGAGATCGAGACCATCCTGGCTAACACGGTGAAACCCCGTCTCCACTAAAAATACAAAAAATTAGCCGGGCGTGGTAGCGGGCGCCTGTAGTCCCAGCTACTCGGGAGGCTGAGGCAGGAGAATGGCGTGAACCCGGGAGGCGGAGCTTGCAGTGAGCCGAGATCGCGCCACTGCACTCCAGCCTGGGCGACAGAGCGAGACTCCGTCTCAAAAAAAAAAAAAAAAGAGTCTTGAACTTGTTCAGCCTGAACACATCTGATATCCTCAGCCAAGTATAGGATGTAAATTAGATAGCTTCTGGCTTTACTAGTGTGGAATCAGGCATGCTTTTTCCCCTTAGGACTCCATGACTAATGACCTGAATTGTCTACATTTCAAGACTAGTCAGATCTCTAATGGTGAACCTATTTCATTGTTTCTGCTTCTGTTTTGTCCCGTAGTATATGAGACAAAGGATATTTTTATGTGCAAATTGCAACAAGTTGAGATACTCCTTTAAAAATGGATTTTCTTTCCATAGTTGATTAGCGTATGGTACCAGATTTCCTAGAAATGTTTTTATGATAAAAGTTTCAGGTTCTCGATGATGCAAGGAAATTACAGACGTTAGGTAATGATTTGTAATCAGGACACATGAGAGGAGTTGTAACTTTACTGCTTACCCTGTGGCTTTGAGAATCATTAATCCTCAATGGGCCTCAGTTTTCATATCTAAAAATACTGCTTTTTAGGTTCAGTTACTTCAAGGGTCAAATGAGATAAAATATATGTGTTATAACAATAAAATGTAATAATAAATATGAGGTACCTTTTCCCCCAGCTTTATTGAGGTATAATTGACAAATGGCGATTGGGTATATTCAAGGTGTACAATATGATGATTTGATACATATACATTCTGAAATGATTATCACAATCAAGTTAATTAATATATCCTTCACCTCACATAGTTGCCATTATAATTTTTTATGATGAGAACACTTAAGATCTCTCTTAGCAAATTTCAAGTAACAATAGAGTACTATTAACTATAGTCAACATGCTGTACATTAGATCCCCAGAGCTTACTCATCTTATAACTGAGAGTTTCTATCCTTCGACCAGCATTTCCCCATTTTTTTCCATCCCCAGTTACTGGCTACCACTGTTCCACTTTGCTTTGATGAGCTTAACTTCTTTAGATAAAATGAGTTACTTTTTGAAAAACAAGTTTAATTGGCAAAATTGTATATATGTATTGTGTACATTATGTTAAAAAATATATATATATATAATGTGGCCTGGTGAAATTGAGCTATAATAGTAGTGTTTTTAATGACTATGTAGCCGAAAGTTCCAAGGCTTTCAGCTGATTGACTATGTAATTCTTAAATCTAGTAGAGTATCTTCTGATTTGAGAGCAGTATGAATCCTGGCAGAAAACTATGCTGGCTATACACTTTTAAGGGTTTGAACTGTGTTACTTTATCTATATACTCTGCATAAAATATTCTCTCTCCTATACAGGCCAGCTCATTTATTCTTGCTTTTCTAGTCTGATTCCCCCTTTCTGGAATCTTTTTCCTCCATCGACTTTTGGTTCTAAAGCATTCCCATCTTCAAAAATTCAATTCAAGTCCTAGTTACCACAACACTTTCTCTAACGGCTTGAAACACCTCTTTTTTCTATGAACTTTTGTTCCACATAGTTATTTCTACCCAGTTATCGACATAATTGCTTGCTAATTATTTCCTGTGGATTAACTTTGATTCCATAACTTTTTAACTTTTTTATAGATTTCCTGAGAGCACGTGCTGTGCTTTATATTTCTTTGTAAATACCTCAGTAGCTCTGCATTTTTTTTCTCTGTCATCCAGGATGGAGTGCAGTGGTCGATCATGGCTGACTGAACCCTTGACCTCCTGAGTTCAAGTGATCCTCCCACCTCAGCCTCCCGAGTAGCTGGGACTACCAGCGCTCCACCACACCCAGCTAATTTTCGTACTTTTTGTAGAGATGGGGTTTTGCCTTATCACTCAGGCTGATCTCAAACTCCCGAGCTCAGGTGACCCACCTGCCTCAGCTTCCCAAAGTGCTGGGATTACAGGTGTGAGCCACTGTGCCCGGCCAGCCCTGTGGTTTTTTGTCGTTGTTTTGGTTTTTTTGAGACTGGGTTTCACTCTGTCTCGCAGGCTGCAGTGCAGTGGCACCATCTCGGCTCACTGCAACCTCTGCCTCCTGGGTTCAAGCGATTTTTCTGCCTCAGCCTCCCGAATAGCAGGGATTACTGGTGCACGCCACCATGCCTGGCCAATTTTTGTATTTTTAGTAGAGATGGGTTTCACCATGTGGGCCAGGCTGGTCTCGAACTGCTGACCTCAGGTGATCCTCTGTCCTCGGCCTCCCAAAGTGCTGGGATTACAGGCATGAGCCGCCGTGCTCACCCAGCTCTGCATTTTTGAATCATTGTTTATAAAACATTGAGCATCAAATAATATGTTTTTAAATATTGTATAAGTAATACTGTGTTCATAGAAACGTTTTCTTTTGGCCGGGCGCAGTGGCTCACGCCTGTAATCCCAGCACTTTGGGAGGCCGGCGGATCACGAGGTCAGGAGATCGAGACCATCCTGGCTAACACAGTGATACAAACCCCGTATCTACTAAAAATACAAAAAATTAGCCGGGCGTGGTTGCGGGCGCCTGTAGTCCCAGCTACTCAGGAGGCTGAGGCAGGAGAATGGCGTGAACCCAGGAGGCGGAGCTTGCAGTGAGCCGAGACCACGCCACTGAGCTCCAGCCTGGGCCACAGAGCGAGACTCCATCTCGAAAAAAAAAAAAAGAAATGTTGTCTTTTACAACCATATATTTATCATATTTATCAGTAGTTTAGGCGTGGTCTTGAAAAGGAACCTCCCCCTACCATAATGCCTTTCGTTTAGGAGATCCCCCCATTACACTTGTGGCTTACATTGAAAGAAAAAAAAAATTATCCCCTTGTCTATGGTAGAAAACTGTGTCATTCGTGGCTTTGACTGCATCACAATCCATTTTAGCTTTTTGTCACTTAACTTGAGAAGAAATGAAATATATGTGGAGTGTATATCCCTGAAGAAAGTAAAGGACCAGCTGTTATCACTATAGAGTTTGTATTGTTGCTGAAAATAATCTGGTTATGTTTGTAAGGATTAAGTAGTTTATTCAACAGATGTTTGGTAGTAAACATGAATGAGAAAAGGCTTGTTCTTATCATATTCATTATGAATGCTGAGGTTGTGCTTTACTACATGTTTTCAATGCTCATCCTAACTGAAAGTATGAAGTGGAAGGATCAATTTCTGAATATTTAAATGAGATGTTGATTGCCTTGTTATAAACATTAACAATTTTCCTAAGTGTTTGCTCTTGAGATAGAGCATCTTTAGGAGAACTTTATGATTTGGGCTGGCAGATTTAGCCAAATTAACAGGAATGTACCTTCCTAATGTGATCATTCATCCCTAGGAACAGGAATCTGGGAACACTGAGGCTATACTTCTGTATGGTGAGTTATCAAAGTGTTAAACACAGGCACTATTAATGAAGCACAGATTCTACTTTCAGAGTAAAGCTAGTGTTACTATCTATGAAAAAATATTATTATTTATGTTTTCATAATAATAACTTCTACATTATATTTATTTTCAACTTTTTAGAATAAATCTGAGCTAGGAGGTTCTTATTTTAGTTGTTTTCCTTCTATCGTTTTTCATTACGCTCTTGTTGTTTGATTTGGTCTCACATTTTAAAAAGCTTACTGTATAAGAAAGTTTTATCTTCAAAATAATGAGCACTAGAGGTTACTATAAATGGAAATACAAAATGTGGATTTACTAAAGTGTTTTGACTTTTACCTACACATTTCTTGGAGTAATTTTTAAGTTGAATTTTAAGAATTATTTTGCTGGCCGGGCACGGTGGTGGCTCACACCTGTAATATCAGCACTTTGGGAGTCTGAGGCAGGCGGATCACCTGAGGTCAGGAGTTCGAGACCAGCCTGGCCAACATGGTGAAACCCCGTCTCTACTAAAAATACAAAATTTAGCCAGGCGTGGTGGTGGGCATCTGTAATCTCAGCTACTCGGGAGGCTGAGACAGGAGAATCGCTTGAACCCGGGAGGTGGAGGCTGCAGTAAGCCAAGAACATGCCACTGCACTCCAGCCTGGGCAAAAAAGTGAGATTCTGTCTCAAAAAAAAAAAAAAATAATAATAATATTGCCATATATTCGAATTACACAATAATACCAGATTGAGGATATTAGAGGAAAACAAATATTATATTTTCAATATTTCTAAAGTATTTTTTGTCTTGGTTATTTTTATGGAATTATATTACATTTATAGTATAACCTAACTCTTAACCATTTTGAGGGGTAAGTTTAAAGATTAACTTATCACTATTGACGAATTATTCATCTACCCGTGGAAGTGTCTGCAGTTTATCCATTTCGAAACATCTAATATTACATGAGAATTTACTTTTCTCATTAGATTACATAAACATCATGTTAAAATGCAATATGTACATGTGACAACTGATCTTTTGGGAAAAAAAAAGTCCATGAATCACTCCTGTAACATTTGGAATTAAATTCATTAACCAAAATAATATCATGCTTCATCTTTTATATTTTGCTTCCTTAGCATCTGGTTCTTAGTCTGTCTAATTACATTATAATGGCTCTGTGTTACAACAGTTGCTAGAAGATTTTTTTGGGGGGGGGGGCAAGAATGATGATTTTGCCTCATATTTTGGAATACCTGCTTTGCAAATGTCTTTCCTATATACTAGAGCCAGAAGGAAACAAATCTAATGTTTCTTATTCGTTTGAAATTTATTGGGAGACCAACTTCATTCAAAGATCAAGAACTCTAAAATTTTTACATCAAAAACTATTTTTTTCCCCAATTACTTTGTTGAGTACTGCACTTCCAGTCTTGAGATCGAAAGTAATGTTGAGGCCGGGCACGGTGGCTCATGCCTGTAATCCCAGCACTTTGGGCGGCTGAGGCGTGCGGATCACCTGAGGTCAGGAGTTTGAGACCAGCCTGGCCAACATGGTGAAACCCCGTCTCTACTAAAAATACAAAGAAAATTAGCCAGGCATGGTGGCGGGCGCCTGTTATTCCAGCTACTAGGGAGGCTGAGGCAGGAGAATCTCTTGAACTTGGGAGGCAGAGGTCGCAGTGAGCCGAGATTGAGCCGCTGCACTCCAGCCTGGGCGACAAGAGCAAAATTCCATCTCAAAAAAAAAAAAAAAAGTAATGTTTAGCCTTGAAATTGCTAATACAATGGACGGTATCCAGCATATTTCTTTTTTGTATGCAATTAATATTTTTACTTTATTTATTTTATTTATTTTTTTGAGATGGAGTCTCACTGTTGCCCAAACTGGAGTGCAATGGCGCAGTCTTGGCTCACTGCAACCTCTGCCTCCCAGGTTCAAGTGATTCTCCTGTGTCAGCCTCCCAAAGTGCTGGGATTACAGGCACGAGCCACCGCGCCTGGCCGATATTCTTACTTTAACAGTTGAATAAGTTAATATTTTATTGGAGCTATGCAATTAGTTAATTTCATATAGTGAATATATTAATATCTTATGAGGAAGAGCCACAATTTTAGTATAATAATGTAGATAATTATAACTCAGGAGGACTATGATCAAGATACACTGTAAGGATCCTTCACCATATTTTACCAAAATATTATTTTATAGTTCAAAGGGGGATAGGACGGTACACTTCCAATTATGCTGCAAATTTGTTATTATTACTGAAAAAGTCTATTTTCTTCTTCAAGCAATTAACTATTAATGTCTTTAATGTCAATAAACCGCATAGCGTTATAGACTCTCTTTGAATTTCTCTGAATTAGAAATAATTTTTGAATAGGAAGATTAACACAGACTCATTTTAATTCTGTAATGGTAGAAATAATTAATCTCCCCTTATCTGTAGGGATACGTGTTCTAAGACCCCTGGTGGATGCCTGAAACTGTGGATAATACCAAACCTTATGTATATATTATGTTTCTTATATACATACACATATAACAAAGTTTAATATATACATTAGGAACCATAAGAGATTAACAACAATAACTAATATTAGAACAATTATAACAATATACTGTGATAAAAGTTATGTGAATGTGGTCTCTATCTCTCAAAATATCTTATTGTACTGTACTCATCTATTTTTGGACTGCAGTTGATCATGGGTAACCAAAACCATGGATAAGAGGCAGACTACTGTGTATTTTATTATATGCATGTTATATATAATATATGTAATATATATTATTTGTATCCATTTGGCAAACAATTGAGATTTTTATTTCATGTAGTTGCTTTTTGTACTAATATAGTTATATGGTTGTTGGAATTATGTCATTAAAACACATTAAGCCAAGCATGCTGGCTCACGCCTGTAATCCCAGCACTTTGGGAGGCCGAGGCAGGTGAATCACTTGAGGTCAGGAGTTTGAGACCAGCCTGGCCAACATGGTGAAACCCCGGTCTCTACTAAAAATAGAAAAAAAATCAGCCGGGCGTGGTGGCAGGCACCTGTAATCCCAGTTACTTGGGAGGCTGAGTCAGGAGAATCCCTTGAACCCCAGAGGCAGAGGTTGCAGTGAGCCAACACTATGCCATCGCACTCGAATCGAGCCTGGGCAACAAGAATGAAACTTCGTCTCAAAAAAGAAAAACACACACGCACATTAAGAGAAATTATGTTTGTCGTTTTGTTTATTCTCTAATTTGATTAAATTGAACAGAATAATAAGTCACGTATGGCAATACCAAATATTATGCTAAAAATAAAACACTGAAAGCTGAAAAATTCAATCACAGATTATTGGTTTATATGACATCAGGCTTCAGGCTGATAGGAGACGTCCAAATGATAGGCTTATTTTGTTCCATAAGTATTGGGCACGGTTCTTAGTATAACAAAGAAATAACCGTGGATTGAGAAATTGTTTTCCTCACCTTCATTACTTAATAGTAGAATTCCCTTCAATGTGCCACTTAATATTCCTTGATGTCAGAGCCTTCCATTTGAGCAGCTGAAATTATTGACACCCCTCTCATTCTTCAAGGATGTGTTGTAGGGACTGCTGAGTTTCTGTAGAGGTTTAAGCTTTGTGGGAAATGATGTTGAGTATGACAATGTTATCAGCAACATTGTCAACTTCATGGTTGCCTATTGACTTAGGGAAAAGTGGAGAAAAATATGACAATTGCTGAGTGCTTAGTTGCAGTAGCTTTTTAATTTTAATTTTCAAGCATCTGTGTATAAGCAAAAGAATATACACAGTGCCACGTATCATACCCATTGACAAGTTTATCAGATTTTAATTATAATAAATATTTTAATTAAAATGTTTTTTAAAATTATTAATTTTAATGAACATCAAATTTCTCTCTTGTGATGTGATAAGGGCAGTGATAGAACTGACATTTGAACGTTCAATACACAATTCGGCCACCATTCAATAGGCTTGGATTGTGCCCATGGTTCTGTTCTGTACTAAAGACACAAAGATGAACAAATAAAAACTCTGCCCTTGAAGCCATACAGTCAAAATACAGTGTCCTTAATCTGGGGTCCATGAACCATGATAGGAAAAAAATTACATCTTTATTTTCACTAACCTGTAACTGAAAATTTGCATTTCTTTCCCTTTATGAAGATAAGCAACACAGAACGGTATTAGCAATATCTGTGAATTTATTACCAATATTTTTATATCAAATCCTAGTTGTTTTGGATATCTTGAAAAATCATATGTTAATATATACCAGTGGTTAGTATACTAATCACTACTTTTAATTTGTATTAATTATTATGCTTATAACTAATGTATTAATAGCATATAATAGTATTATATTCAGTATTTTACAATTGCAATATAATTAATTTCCTTTGTTTTTTATATGCTTTTAGTTTTCATTTTGCACATTTGAAAACAGTCTGGGAAGTGTTCCATATGCTTCACCAGATGCCAAAGGGATCCATAGCACAAAAATAGTTAAGGACCCCATATCTAGAAGAGACACAGGCAAGTACATATAATACCATGGTACAGAAAAATAACAGAGGCTTGTACCATATGCTGTGAAATTGGGCATAACTCTCTCAGTCCAAAGGACTGAAGAGGAAATTTTTGATTTGGCCTTGAAGCACACGTGATTGTTTCTCTAGTGGTAACATGTGAGAGAGGGCATTCTAAAAAAGAGAAAAGTAGGTGCAAAGTCGAAGTCACCCGGTGAGAGCTTGCAGGGTCAGGGAACAAAGAGCAGTGTACTGTGGCAATGTAAACAAACAAAGAAACAAACAAAAAAACCTTTTTTTTTTTTAAACCATTGTTGGGCATCCTATTCTGTTTTCATTTGTCAATGTGCAAGATTGCATTTGCCAAGCAGTTTTTATTAATCATTAGTGAGTAGAAACTATTCTCTGGCTTTTTATTTTAACTGACTATATTTCATATAGACAACAGGCAAGAAACATCAAAGAAGAGATCAAAGCTCTGCATTAGCGTTTTAAATCTCATTATTTCAAACAACATCTACCTGTAAGGGGAAAAAAAACCGTAAATCTTTTTCACCTCCCCACTTCGTCGTTGTTTTCAGACAACGATCAGTCACTTGTCTGGCCTGTGGGCCATAATTGGCTACCTGTAAATCTCAAGAGACTGAACCATGTAACTGGAATAATTTTTTTTTTTTAGCACTACACTACACGGCTGTTATTCAGTTATAATGGTCAAGGAAGCTTTAGATGCTGTACTTAGGCTTTCTAAATGTGTGCTTTATTTGGCTTTCTGGGAGAAATGTCAATGTGAATTTCCAGATTATAATGAAGTTCATCCAGAAAAACAACTATGATTTAAAGAAGCAGAAGAAACAAACCGGACTGAAAAAATACACTAATAGACTAAGATAGTGTTTTCAAACTGTTCTAGATTAAGACAATTTTGCTTGCATTCTTTGTTGAGCAAGAAGGTTCACATCTTAACTTTTCCAATAATCCTCTTTAAGACCGTTATTATTGGCCTTGATTTCAAACAGAAACCAGCAGGGACCTGAATGGACACTACTAGTTAACCAGTCTAAAGCCTTATGTTAAAGCTAAACAGTTATCTCTAATTTTCAAAACAATAGCATGAGTATATATTAAAAAGTGGTTGATCTAGGGAACTTAATATTCCAGGATGAACTATACTAAATGAAAATATGTAACACATTAAAATGTGGTCAAACAAGCCATCTATAGCTGATAGTACAAATTGCATATATATCTACTTTATTAAAATTTTAACTGGCCAATAAAATTGATACTATAATTCTAAATATAATTTTTATTTAAGATTACAAGTTTTAAAATTGAACAGACTTAGGTTTAAATCACTTCTCTCTCTTCTTCTTTTTTTTTTTTTTTCCGAAACGGAGTTTCACTCTTGTTGCCCAGGCTGGAGTGCAACGGCGCGATCTCGGCTCACTGCAACCTCCACCTCCCAGGTTCAAGCAATTCTCCTGCCTCAGCCTCATGAGTAGTTGGCCCTCCACCATGCCTGGATAATTTTTTGTATTTGTAGTAGAGACGAGGTTTCACCATGTTGGCCAGGCTGGTCTCAAACTCCTGACCTCAGGTAATCCGCCCTCCTGGGCCTCACAAAGGGCTGGGATTACAGGGGTGAGCCACCGCGGCCAGCCAAAATCACTTCTTAAATGTGTTATTCTGGGCCCAGCACGGTGGATCATGCCTGTAATCCCAGCACTTTGGCAGGCTGAGGCG
Source organism: Homo sapiens (assembly GCF_000001405.40). Taxonomy (NCBI): domain Eukaryota; kingdom Metazoa; phylum Chordata; class Mammalia; order Primates; family Hominidae; genus Homo; species Homo sapiens. The sequence continues at coordinate 33,108,511 of NC_000023.11, read as the reverse complement.
GTCCGATCACCTGAGATCAGGAGTTTGAGCCAGCCTGGCCAACATAGTGAAACCCCGTCTGTACTAAAAATACAAAAATTAGCCGGCCTGGTGGCACATGCCTTTAATCCCAGCTACTCGGGGGTGCTGAGGCAAAAGAATCCCTTGAAACCGAGAGGCAGAGGTTACAGTGAGCCAAGATCATGCCACTGCACTACAGCCTAGGTGACAGGTGACAGAGGGATACTTCGTCTCAAAAAACAGAAGACAAACAACAGCAACAGAAAATGTATTATTTTGTATTAGCTTAGCTCAGCATGTTTGCTTGTATGTAAAGTAGAACTGAAAAAAAAACCTAATAAAATTAAAATAGGGATTAAATGCACTAAAATTTGTTATTTGTTCTACGTATTTCAAAAATGGTAGTCATTCTAATTATTTATTTTAGTTAATGGAAACATTAGTTTTATTGTTAGTAAAACAATATATTGTTGATACAATATCTAGCATAATTTTGCCTCTTAATGAATCAATCAGCTTGTCCTTTTTATTCATATTTTCCTTAATTATAAACCAATTTTTTAAAAGTCATAATCTATCAGTAGAAATGGTACTTTATTAAATTCGGAGAATAGTATCATTTAAGGAAAAATATTCCTAGATAAAAAAATATACAGTACTATGAAATTCACATGCATTTAAAGTCATTATTAATTTATAAAGAATCTGGAATTATAACCTGAACTAAATAATTCTATTTTTTTGCTGAATGAATGAATAAATAAATGAATCTTTAGGAACTTGACTGTCCTCCACTAAAGTTAATGACTCCTTCAACATATTACACATTCTGTTGCTTTGTTCTCATTTCTATTATAAATGCAAGTTTGCTTTTTTGCATATGGAATCACCATCTATAAATTCATAGTCAATATGGGGTTTTAAATAATCATTACCATGGAAATTATACTTAAGTATTAGTTCTGTTGGTTGGAGATTATGAATTTCTAAATTTAAAAAAATGCTGATTTAAATTTATTATTTCCAGTGCCCTATCCTATTTTTTTTTCATATCTGCTACTGCCTTCCTAATAAACTTGTTTAGAAATATATCTTGACAGCAAATGGTATTTTATTCCTACCCTCTTGGCATGTATTATACACAAACTTTGTTTTTTGTTGTTGTTGCTGTTTTTTTTGTGTGTGTTGGGGGGGGGGGGGGGACAGAGCTTCGCTCTTGTTGCCGAGGCTGGAGTGCAATGATGCCATCTCGGCTCACTGCAACCTCCGCCTCCTGAGTTAAAGAGATTCTTCTGCCTCAGCCTCCCGAGTAGCTGGGATTACAGGCATCCGCCACCACAGCCAGCTAATTTTTGTATTTTTAGTAGAGACGGGGTTTCACCATGTTGGCCAGGCTGGTCTTGAACTCCTGACCTCAGGTGATCCGCCCACCTCTGCCTCCGAAAGTGCTGGGATTACAGGCGTTGAGTCACTGCACCCGGCCTTAAACTTCTTTTCGAAAGCTTTCTCTTTTATACGTATTGAGTTAATTCCTGTTTGCGCTGTGACATCTACCTGACTACCACAAAACCTTACAGCCACTTGCTTCTGTAAATGGAAAACTGCCCTAGCATGACAGGATGTGGGCTGAAGACATAACCATATCGAAAACAGCAAGCTTTTTGGAAATCTGTGTTTGGCCCTCAATTTCATGGCCTCAAGTAACTTGATAATTTTCTATTTCTAATGCCTGTCAGCCACAACAGGATCTGATAACCAACTAAAATCTCTGTTGGAAGTGAATAGGGGAAAATAGGTGAAATCACATTTGATGTTGTAAGGGAAGCTTATTGAAGACAGTGGATGTGTTCAAAACATTATGAGGCAAATAATGAGGAGGAAAAAATATGAGGAAATAGATCACCAGGAAGCCCTGTGAATGTTTATGTTTTGGCTTTACATGATTACTAGTAATTAAATTAGTGAAAAATATTTTATGGAATATTCAATATGCCCTTAATGTACAATTTGCTGAGCAATAAGAATATAAGACTACAAACTTCCTCTTATTGGAATATACATTTTATTTTTTATTTTGTTGTACTTCAATAGCTTTAGGGTTTCAAGTGGTTTTTGCTTACGTGTATGAATTGTATAATGGTGAAGTCCGGGATTTTATTGAGCCGTCACCCGAGTAGTGTACGTTGTACCCAATATGTAGTTTTTTATCCCTCATTCCCACCCCCTCCACTTCTGAGTCTCTGAAGTCCCTTATATCACTCTGTATGCCTTTGCATACTCATAAGTTAGTTCCCATTATAAGTGAGAACACACAGTATTTGATTTTCCATTTCTGAGTTACTTCACTTAGAATAATAACCTCCAGTTCCATCCAAGTTGCTGCAGAAGACGTTATTTCATTGTTTATATGGCTGAGTAGTATTCTATGGTGTGTGTGTGTGTGTGTGTGTGTGTGTGGTGTGTGTATCTCACATTTTCTTTATCCACTCTAAGGTGGATTCTATATCTTTGCGATTGTGAATTGTGCTGCAATAAACATATGTATGCAGGTGCCTTTTTCATATAGTGACTTATTTTTATTTTGGTAGATATGCAGTATTAGGATTCGTGGATTGAATGGTATACCTACTTCTAGTTCTTTGAGAAATCTCCATACTGTTTTCCAGAGAGGTATTAATTTACACTTCCACCAGCAGTATATAAGTGTTCTCTTTTTATCTTGTCCATGCCAACGTTTATTGTTTTTTGACTTTTTAATAATGGCCATTCTGGCTAAGATAAGGAAGTATCTCATTGTGGTTTTAATTTGCATTCCCCTGATGATTAGTGATGTTAAGTATTTTTTCATGTATTTGTTGATCATTTGTATATCTTCTTTTGAGAAATGTATATTCTTGTCGTTTCCAAGCTTTTTAAAGAGATTGTTTTCTTCTTGCTGATTTGCTTGAGTTCTTTGTAGGTTGTAGATATTGGTCAGTTGTCAGATGCAGTTTGCAAATATTTTTTTCCATTCTGTCGGTTTTCTGTTTACGTTGATGGTTATTTCTTTTGCTGTGCAGAAGCTTTTTAGTTTACTTAGATCCCATTTGTTTATTTTTATTTTTGTTGCATTTGCTTTTGAGGTCTTGGTCATAAATTCTTTACCTAGGCCAATGTCCAGGAGAGTTTTTCCTAGGTTTTCTTTGAGGAGTTTTATGGTTTCAGGTCTTAGACTTAAGTCTTTAATCCTCCTTGAGCTAATTTTTGTATATGGTAGGAGATAGGGATCCAGTTTCATTCTTCCACATGTGGTTGTCCCATTTTCCCAGCACCATTTATTGAATAGGCTGTCCTTTGCCCAATTTATGTTTTTGTATGCTTTGTTGAAGGTAAATTGGTTTTAAGTATTTGGCTTCACTTCTGGCTTCTCTATTCTATTCCAATGGTCTATGTAGGAATAGACGTTTTAAAATGTTGCAATTGGAACTATGGATAAACCTTTAAGATAATAATTTTTAGCCACTGTTCATTTTAACTGGGGGAGAATGGGAAAAAAGTTTAATCACTTTAACTAAATCAGTTACTTTGTTTACATATATTTAGCTCTGATAATTACAAGGAGATTCACTTTTGAGTTTGAAAAGTAGATTCTAATGCCTAATGAGAGTTTTCACATTGTCTTTGAGAATAAACACTATTTTAGGTTATTACTGATATTTCAGTTTGTGAACTAATAATTCAGCTTGTGAATTTTACCCAATTTTATAAATTCACTTTTCTTACTTGGGCGTCTGTGTTTGAATTAAGAATGGTTAAATGTTTCTTTCATACGCGTCCGTGTGAAGAGACCACCAAACAGGCTTTGTGTGAGCCATAAAGCTGTTTATTTCACCTGGGTGCAGGTGGGCTGAGTCCGAAAAGAGAGTCAGCGAAGGGAGATAGGGGTGGGGCCGTTTTATAGGATTTGGGTAGATAAAGGAAAAAGGGGGGTTGTTCTCTGGCAGGCAGGAGTGGGGGTCACAAGGTACTCAGTGGGGGAGCTTTTGAGCCAGGATGAGCCAGGAGAAGGAATTTCACAAGACAATGTCATCAGTTAAGGCAGGAACAGGCCATTTTCACTTCTTTTGTGGTGGAATGTCATCAGTTAAGGCAGGAACCGGCAATCTGGATGTGTACGTGCAGATCACAGGGGATATGATGGCTTAGCTTGGGCTCAGAGGCCTGACAGTTTCTACATGATAGTCTCTTTATTCAAAAGAAACACACTACATTATTATTTTAAAACGTTATTAACATATTTTTCTGTGCTAGAAAATTTTAAGAAACAAACATTTAAGTGGGCTAACTCATTTAGAATTTGTAAAATATGACAAAACTCTAGGAGAAAGTTTACCTGTGAAAGGAGTCTGTTATGTAAATCAATAGTGTAATTATGATTCAATAAATTATATAAATTCCTAATGAGCACTATCAATTTTTCTTTTGCTAAAATCTACTGATATTCTACTTTTAAATTACTCTCACTTTTAGTGTTCCCCTGAGGACTTATCAGTTTGGAACACTTAAATTTGAGTTATCGTTCTGTTCTTAGGAAAAATATATTTAAAGAAATAATGATTTATTATGCTAGATTTATCATTATTTTTATTTGGGATTGCTTTTAATGTGCATGAGTTACAAAGACATAACTGTGAGATCCCATTTTCTATAATTTTTTTAGTGATTCCATACATTTCTGAGTTTACATTTTTTAAAAATTATAGCTCAAAAAATGCAAGACATAAGTAAGTATGCTTTTCTAATGGGTCATTTCAGTCGCGTCCGTGTGAAGAGACCACCAAACAGGCTTTGTGTGAGCAATAAAGCTTTTTAATCACCTGGGTGCAGGCGGGCTGAGTCCGAAAAGAGAGTCAGGGAAGGGAGATAGGGGTGGGGCCGTTTTATAAGCTTTCGGTAGGTAAAGGAAAATTACAAAGAGGGGTTGTTCTCTGGTGGGCAGGAGTGGGGGTCACAAGGTGCTCAGTGGGGGAGCTTTTTGAGCCAGGATGAGCCAGGAGAAGGAATTTCACAAGGTAATGTCATCAGTTAAGGCAGGAACAGGCCATTTCCACTTCTTTTGTGGTGGAATGTCATCAGTTAAGGCAGGAACAGGCCATTTTCACTTCTTTTGTGATTCTTCAGTTACTTCAGGCCATCTGGGCGTATACATGCAGGTCACAGGGGATATGATGGCTTAGCTTGGGCTCAGAGGCCTGACAGGTCAGTTATGGAAACACATCAAAGTACTCTAGAACCAAAAGTTAATTTTTGAAAGAAATTAACTTAATGTACAGATTTTATAGGAATTCTGGACGTATTTAATATCGTGATGCTAGAAGAATGTCTTACCAATTAATATTACTGGATTTCTTGTTGTGTATCAAGTTGTAACAGATACCTTAATCACCTACCAGATAGGCTCATTCCTGTGTCCATTCCAATAGAACTCTGATTTTGCTCAGATCTCCATCCTCACAATTTCACAGTAGTCTTCAGTAAAGAAATGAGACTACCCCTTGTCACAGAAAATGAATCATACTTTAATTCGCTTATATGCTTCCATACCACTTGCCATTTACGGGTTTAAGTATGTGCATGAGATGCAACCTGAACCAATTAAACATCAAGTAAGTTTTTCTTGCCAATGAAAAGCGTTCACTTAACAACTAAATGCTTGAGCATTTATATGTAGATATATATGTACATATATACGATGTAAAATGTAGAATGCCCACTGATTCATTTATAATTTGATATGTATTAGTATGTATTTAATAAGCTCTTATAAGACTGAATGGACTCTGGATATGAAATAATATACCAAGTATGGTAACACATGGTAACACATGGACAAATTGTAGTGGAATCAATAAAGCATTCAGAGAAATACATCATTATTATTTATTCTCCCACTTTAGGAAGATTTCAATCCTAGCATTAAATGTAACACTGTCTTTTTTAAAATAAAACCTCCATTTCTAAGAAGTTATTTGATGAGAAAATATTTGAGAGGTTATCTGATGAGAAAATTTGAAGAAAAAAATTTTAACTGTACAACCAGTTAATTAGAACTTTGTCAAATAACATTGCCTTTAATTCCCAGAAATCCAATACATTATGCTCAGTGAACTGTAACACCTGAGTTTTTAAAGTGGAATACTTAAAAAAAAAAAAAAACAAAAAAAACCAGCCTTCTGGGGTAATATCTCCTCTTTGGAAGTTTCTTTTTTTCCAAAATTATACTTAAAGGACGATTCTTTTAATGAATAAATTTTAGAGTTATCTCAAGGAATAAATAGAGGAAATATTATTTTATTTCAAAGAGAAGAATGTCTATTGTGGCAAACAACAAACCTGAAATAAATAAAACGTGACAGTCTATGAAGTCCGTGAGCCTAAAGAACAATGGTTATTTTACTGTCTTAGAAAAGTTTAGGAAGTTTGGATTTGAATTCAAACTTTAATTTGAACTTATAACGTCAACTTGAAATCATTTGGAATAAACATTGAAAACCTTCTTTGAAAGTTTTATCAAAGGAGAAAGAATTTGAATACCAAGAGGATGGAAAGGTTAACTTCTGTTATCTGAAATATCTTCAATTGCCTTGAGCCAGTTTAAAAATAAACAAGCTTACTGATATAGAGGGAAACAAGTCTACCTTGTGAATATAATTTAAAAAAGAGAAAAAATGTCATTTACCATATTATTTACTTCCTCATTTTAGAAAAGGGAATAAACATTTATTAATTATGCACTATCAGGCACTACGCATTCAACACACACTATCACATTAGTTCTTCCCAAAAGCCATTTGAAGTAGTTTTTCTTTCTTTTTTTTTCTTCTTTTCTTTTCTTTTTTTGAGAGATGGAGTCTTGCTCTGTTGCCCAGGCTGGAGTGCAGTGGCACGATCTCTGCCCGCTGCAACCTCCGCCTCCCTGGTTCAAGCGATTCTCCTGCCTTAGCTTCCCAAGTAGCTGGGACTACAGGCATGTGCCACCACGCCCAGCTAATTTCTGTATTTTTTAGTAGAGACGGGGTTTCACTATACGTTGGCCAGGCTGGTCTCGAACTCCTGACCTCAGGTGATCCGCGTGCCTCGGCCTCCCAAAGTGCTGAGATTATGGGCGTGAGCCACCGCACCTGGCCTGAAGTAGTTTCTCTTATGCCCATTCATCAATATAGATAATAGGGTTCAGAGAGATTTTTCAGTAATTTACACAAGATTTTACAGCTCCTAGGTGGCAGAATCTAGACTTAAATTTAGATCTGATCCAAAAACTGTATTTTCCTAGCTTTAGTAGGACATTAACAATACAAGTGCCTCTTTAATATGCTTAGGAATGCATTTTTATTTATATGTAAAACCAAATAAACAAATAAACGCTGCGATTGCCAACAAAGTATCTTTAATGTAAGAATTTCAAATGCTGTGCAAAATTATCCTCACTAACTGCTCTTCTGGTCCCACACTTGTCACATGGCTACAGAATATACTATATCTCTCTTTCTCTTCCAGCAGCTTCCTAGTGGCCACACAGGGACCATCCTATCCATAGGTTATAGTTGCTTTTTAAAATCTAGGCATTTCCTAGGAGCTGATGAGATTTTAGAAGAGGTGATATTAACATGAAAAAATTGGTAGGGGTAGATTTCTGAGATATTCTATCCAAATTCAGGAGTTTTACAATTATAATTTAGTTAAATATTGTACTTGATACACATATAATTCCATTAATACACTCTGAGTTAATTGATTTTCATTTATTACTCATGGTTTTCATTTTTTGTTTTTTGTTTTTTGAGACGGAGTTTTGCTCTTGTCACCCAGGCTAGAGGGCAACTGTGCAATCTTGGCTCACTGCAATCTCCGCCTCCTGGGTTCAAGCGATTCTCCTGCCTCAGCTTCCCGAGTATCTGGGATGACAGGCATGCGCCACCATCCCTGACTAATTTTATATTAGTAGTACAGATGGGGTTTCGCCATTTTGGTCAGGCTGGTCTCGAACTCCTGGCCTCAGGTGATCCACCTGCCTCTGCCTCCCAAAGTGCTGGGATTACAAGCGTGAGCCACCGTGCCCGGCTTCATCGTTTCCATCTTTAACAAAGAAATACATGATATTTAAAGAAATTTTAAAAGTATAATTTTAAAACAGAGGGAAAGCCACCCACAGCTAAAACATCCTTTCTCTAAACAGTTTATTTTTTCCTTAATAAAGTTAGATATTTTTTGGTGTCTAACTTTGCATTGTAAAACTTAATCATTACTTACATTGCTCCATAATATTCTGTCATATGGTTTTGCTGTAGAACTGATACTGAGTTGGTGTGCCCCTTGTAAGAATAGTCCAGTCATTTTAAACCAGCATCTGTTTGGATTGGGCCAGCATCTCTTCCAGTGTCCTTGAGTCAACAATGCCTTAATGGTTTCTACATATATTTTTAAATATTACCTATAGATAGTTCATTCTTTATCTTCTTATGTTGCGTGTCAGAGCTATTACGTTAGAGCTATTATGTAATTTTGGCTTTTTTATATATCATTGCAATTAACACTCTTGTCCATTAATCTGTTTGGGTTTTTTTTGTTCTCTAGTTGACATCTTATGACAAATCAATAGGTGTGTAAACTATGTCGATTTTTCTTGGCTGTAAAAAACAGTAAAGAATGCTTACAGTACACGTTGTCTTTATGAAAGGAAGTTCCATTTGAAGAAATAATTAAAAAACAATCTGTTTTGCCTTTAATGGGCAAGATGAAGAGTTAATGCCACTATATACTAAATATCTTAATCTCGACATGAAATGAGAACTATTCTAGAGATATGTTTCTAGATAGATATGGAACAACCACAAGTTCATACAAAATTTGTTAATTTTAAGTCATATTTTGGACTTTTATTAACTCATATGGAGTGACGAACAAATCCTTAATTAATAGCAGACATATCATCATCTCTGGATGCTTATCTATCAGAGATCAGCAAGAAAACAAACACACGGCATGCTAAAATGGGTAAACTATGAGAGGCAATAAGAAACAATATTCAAAGTTGTGGGTAGGGTTAAGGGAAACTAATGAATACTGTGATGCAGGTGGCCCCTGGCTCTGGGGACAATAGAAAGACATAACCCACCACTAGGCCTAAAAAAGGTAAAATGTGAGGGAGCAATTACTAGATCCTGGAAATGGAGGAGCTGAGGAGAGACCGCCCAACAAGAGCTGTGACCTTTGAAAAAGAAATACAGCCACTTACAACCTGAGCTCTTGCAGGTGTAAAAAGTAGAGGTTTCTCTCCAAAGAAACTTTCCTACCCATCTAAATGGGAATAAATAGTAACGTCTCCTAGAAGCAAAATTTATTAAACGACCTGTGCTAACATTCTTAAATATCTACTAGCCGTAATAAAGAAATCAATGTACTTTATGTTCTTAGTTCCCACAATTTAGCCTAAATATTTGCCCTGGCATGCTTATACTGGTCCAAGCACGCATTAGGTCATAGCCTGTTCCTCTTCCTTATTTGAAGGTGTTTTTACCTTTCTCAGCAAGTAACTTGTGGAAACAAGTTACTTCCTCCTTCCTTTGTTCTCCTCTGCCTTTGTCTCTTTTGAAAAGTTCTAAGTTGCTAGCCAATCGGGACAAATACAGAATGTGTGGTCCTGTTCCAGCCAATGGAAACCGGACACAGCAGTAGAGTAAACATGTCAGGTTATAAATGACCCTGTCTCCTTTGTTCGGTGTACTCTCGTGGCAAAACTGCTGGCGAGTGTACCCTTTCTGCAAAAAGTAAAAATGACCTTGCTGAGAGAGTTAAATTTATGTTCGAGTGCTGTTTCTTTGCAGCACCAGGGAACAAGCATTCTGTTTCTAAATAAACATTGTTTACATATAACACAGGGAAGGAGCAGTAAAGAGGATACAGCCTCCACACACCTTTGAAAAGCACTCAAGTTATAAGTCTTTAGTGCCGTGCTACTTAAGAGAAGGGCTTGGGTTTGCCCTAGGTTATGGTTATGCTAAGCTCCTCACAATTTTTATACCACATCCAATGACAGCAGACCCATTCAAGCAGAATTGGTTTACACCATGAGAAACTATAATTCAAAGAAAGTTAGCAACTTGCTCCTAGGCATACCCATATTAACCAATATTATTCAGTATATTTATATACAGCGCAGAGAACAACAATTTTAATGGCATTGTCAGTATTCTTTGATAGATAAGCACCAGTTTTGTGATATTTAAAAAGCTATTATAGGTGTTGAGGCTTCGTTTTCTCTTCCGCTAAACTGGGATGAATCTTTCTGAACAGAACAAATACATATATTCTGTCCTATCTGGGAAAGATTCAATTATGTGTTGCAGTCCAAATATGCTGTATTATATTTACAGGTAAAATCATACTAGCAGACCAGAGTAAATAACTAGGTAAGTTCCTCTTAGTGACAATAAAAAGTTATATTGCTCAGATAGTGCTAATAGAACTTTCTGCAATAGAAATGTTCTGTATCTATCATGACCAATATAGTAGCCAATAGCCATATGTGACTATTGAGCCCTTAAAATGTTACTGGTGGGGCTGGGCATGGTGGCTCACACCTGTAATCCCAGCACTTTGGGAGGCTGAGGGGATGAATTACCTGAGGTCAGGAGTTTGAGACCAGCCTGGCCAGCATGATGAAACCCCGTCTCTACTAAAAATACAAAAATTAGCCGGGCGTGGTGGCCAGTGCCTGTAATCTCAGCTGCTTGGGAGGCTGAGGCAGGAGAATTGCTTGAGCCTGGGAGGCAGAGGTTGCAGTGAGCCCAGATCACACCACTGCCCTCCAGGCTGGGCGACAGAGTGAGTGAGACTCTGTCTCAAAAAAAAAAAAAAAAAAAAAAGAGTCTCATGTATAAATACTGTTTTGGACACACATCGTTAGAAGACAGTAAAGGTGACACTGTAAAAATTTTAAATCATTAATAACTAATTACCACCCCAATGTAAATTTCACTGATCACTGTCAGTATTAATTCTACAGTAACATCTGTATCAACAAATTTCCATATCCCTTTCACTGGTATTAGGGAGGAGATATCAAAAGATGGTAAACCCAGAGCATAAACTTGTAGATGTTTGGTAATGAAATGGGACTGGACCTATTTGAGATTGTTTCACAATTTTAAATCAGGGATTGGTTATATAGAGCTTTCTTTCTTGTATTTTTTTTCTGCTTCTATGTGGAACCATCTAGAATGCTTGTGTTATTGCTTTAAGGAAAGTTTTTAAAGGGATTCTTAAAAAATACAGTATTTTCCTAGCATATCTCTGAGGTGATAAAAGTCTAAGAATCATAGTTTATGTGTTTTATTCAGATCCAGCTCATTCTCTCAACTGTTAAATAAGATTCTTGAGAACAGGTATTATTTTTTACATTCTGGAGGATCCTTATAGCACATAGAACTATACTGAGACCAAACTCGATAATTTCTTATAATTTTGATTCTGCTGGTAAAACACAAACTTGATATTGAAAATTTGAATATTCTGGACATTATAATTTGCTTATGAATCATTCTGTTTGATATTCCCAGATACCCTTTGCTAAGGCAGCTCAGAAGGGAAATATTTGTTCTTGCAGTTTGTGTGGTTACGTGGTTTGTTGTAAACTTTCCCTTTGACCTAAAGAAATATTGTCCCTTTGGCCAGGTGCGGTGGCTCGCGCCTATAATCCCAGCACTTTGGGAGGCTGAGGCGAGTAAATCGCTTGAGGCCAGGAGTTCGAGACCAGCCTGGCCCACATGGTGAAACCCCATCTCTACTAAAAATACAAACGATTAGCCAGGTGTGGTGGTGCATGCTTGTAATCCCAGCTACTTGGGAGGCTGAGGCAGGAGAATCTTTGAATCTGGGAGGCAGAGGTTGCAGTGAGCCAAGATGGTGCCATTGCACTCCAGCCTGGGTGACAAGAGCAAAACTCTGTCTCAAAAAAATAAAAAAAAAAAAAGTCGTCTCCAAAATATAGCATGGCTTCAAACAGATCGCATTATCTCTCTGAAACATTTTAACTTATAGATTTAAAAATATATCTTACAGAAACATTATTTAGAAACACAACTTTAGTTTACCTACCTCTATAAAATCTCCAGAGCCAGAGTAAAGATTAAAATATGCATTCACAAAGAGCTTTTTAAATCATCTCTTTATTTTACATCTCCCAAAAATTCTGGAAGAAGGCCGGGCGCGGTGGCTCACGCCAGTAATCCCAGCACTTTGGGAGGCCAAGGTGGGTGGATCACGAGGTCAGGAGATCGAGACCATCCTGGCTAACATGGTGAAACCCCGTCTCTACTAAAAATACAAAAAGTTAGCCGGGCGTGGTGGCAGGCGCCTGTAGACCCAGCTACTCTGGAGGCTGAGGCAGGAGAATGGCGTGAGCCCAAGAGGCGGAGGTTGCAGTGAGCCGAGATCGCACCACTGCACTCCAGCCTGGGTGACAGAGCGAGACTCCATCTCAAAAAAAAAAAAAAAAAAAAAAAAAAAATTCTGGAAGAAGTAGTGTTTGATTTAGCACTCTTAAGGGACACCATACATTTGATGTTGTTAAAATAGCTTACAGGTTTATATTAGATTTCTATTATCTATCCTGTCTTCATTTTTGGATATCATGTAAATATGTTAGATAAATAAATTGAGATTGATTTCTAACAATTTGTATGCATTTTGAGATGGCTTAGAAAACATTCAATGCAGAAGTTGATACTGTGACTCATACCAAGCATGCTCCTTTGAATATAAGAAGACAAAACTTCTGAAATGAGGCAAATTTAAAATATGACAGGTTTATATTCTGGAGGTAGTGCTAATAGCCCCCAAAGCTACTGATACATGAGTTTGTACACTACAGAAAAGAGAATTAAAAAGAAAGTTTGCACTTCATTGCAGTTCCACTCTTGATTATTAATATAAATCGAATGTAAATTAGTGAACTTCCTGTAAACACAACATGAGCAATGACTAATATTGATAGTCTACTCTTAGGTTCCCTTGAAATTGTTCTGCTTGTCTGATAAAACCATAACAAGGGACATAAAAAGATTGTTTTAATATGTTGAGTGAATTGTACATGAAAAATTACATTCCCATAAAAGGCTGATCTATGAATGCTAACATTTATGTTGTTCGCTATTTCTGTGTACTTATACCACCCGTGTGAGTGTTGCTTGATTTGGCAGAAGTAATGGAATTTTAAAAAGCAGTTGCATGAGCAAATATATCTATTTTCCATATGTACATATTTGCAATTTAGCAAGTCATTTGCTTTTGTTTAAATATTCAAAACGTTGTCATATGTGTGTTGTACACATTAAGATTTTATGTATTTTAAAAATTATATATGTGTATTGATATATTTGTATGCACACAGAGCAAAGCTTGAAATAGCAAAAGGTAATTACATGCATATTGTATATACTACTTTGTATTAAAAATGTAGTTTATTGATCTTTAAAACCAAATTTGTTTTTGTAATAAAGAGTAATAAAAAATTAGATTATGATTTTTTCCTTTCAAATATGTTTAGAATTTAAAAATCTTGGCTACCCCTTTAACCTAAAATCTGTCTTACTTACCTCAAAATGCCCTTGATCCCAACTACATGAAATTTCTTGCTCTTTCTTTTTTTTCTTTTTTTTTTTTTTTGAGATGGAGTCTTGCTCTGTCGCCCTGCCTGGAGTGCAATGGCACAATCTCAGCTCACTGCAACTTCCACCTCCCAGGTTCAAGCGATTCTCCCTCCTCAGCCTCCCGAGTAGCTGGGATTACTGGTGACTGCCACGATGCCCAGCTAATTTTTTGTATTTTTAGGAGAGATGGGGTTTCATCATGTTGGCCAGGCTGGTCTTGAACTCCTGACCTCAGGTGATCCACCTGCCATGGACTCCCAAAGTGCTGGGATTACAGGCGTGAGCCACCGCGCCCGGCCTTCTTGCTCTTTCTTAAATATATTATGTAATTTTATATAGCACATGCATATTTCTGTGTCTGGGACACCCTTCCTCCCTGTATCTACTCCTTGCTATTTCTTCTAGCCTAATTTAGATCCCTCTTTCTATGTTTCTCTGGCTCTTTTTTCTTAAGATTTGTCAAGTCATGCTGAAACTATTGCCTTGTCTTTCTCAAAAGACTGTAAGTTCATTGATGGCAGAACTTAAGTGTATATTAGTATCTCCCAGAACTCACTCAGGGCCTGGCATAGAGTAGCATAAAAGTCAGTGTTGTTGAATGAATGAAGAAATGAATAGAATGATAACTGCTTTCTACAGGTGATTGTGTGTAAACAAAAAGTCATATGATTAATCCTTCTATGAGCAAAAGTTGGCTAAGATTACAATTAAATCTGAATGTGAAGATTGTACTGCAGAAAAAAAAAACACACATTTTCAATAGTTATGTCACAAAAGCAACCCATCATGATACAAGTAGAATCTGCGAACATTTCTTTTAAGGTGCGTATAAACTCATGGCAAATTTATGTTGCATTAGTCTTTTTGATGTTCTGAACTTTCATAAAAAATCAACATAGTATTTAAAATCTATTGTAAAATATATTGAAGTTTCATTGATTTTATTAAAATATTAATTCCTTTATTTTATATCTATATATAATATAATCAAATCTGAAAACTCATCAAGATTATGGCCTAGTTGATTACGTCTTAGTTATTATTTGTACTTTTCCATAGCCAACATGCAATAAAAGTTTGGTTCTAGATAATTTTTTCCTGTTTTACACCGTTTCAATCAAAACATGTTACAATTGAGTAAAACAATCTGAACCAGCCTTTTATAATACATGAATTCCAAGATTGTACTAATTTGTCAGTTTTTGCTTACTGTCTTTCACAATGATTTGGAGACATAATAAAATGTGCAACCAAATTAGTGAAAATAAAGAAGTATATATATAATTGACTAGAGCCAAATATGTATGCAGATTTAAGGCCTGATGTTTTAGTTCACTCATTCAAATTTTAATTAAAAACAGTACATAAAAGGTGCTAGTTGCTGGAGTATGATGAGAAAACAAAACAGTAACAAGACAAAAACTGAAAACATGTTTCCTATCCTTGTGAAACTTACTGTCAATGGGGAAGACGTACACTCAGTCAGAGAAATGTTAATATTTACAACGTAAAGTAATATTTACATTATCTGTATTCAGAAAGAGAATATCAAGGAAGCCTATTCTGTTGGAGTAAAGAGCTTATGCAAAGCTCCTATTGTGGGAAGGAACAGAAAGGCCAGGGTAACTATATCTAAGAAGAAAATTACAGGCTGGGCACAGTGGCTCACGCCTGTAATCCCAACACTTTGGGAGGCCGAGGCGGGTGGATCACCTGAGGTCAGGAGTTCGAGACCAGCCTATCCAACATAGTGAAACTTCATCTCTGCTTTAAATACAAAAAATTAGCCGGACGTGGTGGCGGGCACCTATAATCCTAGCTACTTGGGAGGCTGAGGCTGGAGAATCGCTTGAACCCAGGAGGTGGAGGTTGCAGTGAGCTGAGATCGTGACACTGCACTCCAGCCTGGGCGACAGAGCAAGACTCCATCTCAAAAATAAATAAATAAAATAAAATAAATAAATAAAAAAGAAAATTACGGTGCTACAAGACGAGGAGGAACTACACAGAAGCCTCTTCATTCAAGAAATGAAAGCTCCTGAGTTCGGATATCTATCTTAAAAGCAGTAGTATGCTATTGAAGAATTGTAAGCAAAGGGTGTCTTGATCACATTCATCTGTCAAATAGCTCTTTATTGGTGAGGTTATGAGAATGTATTGAAAGTAATGTAATCAAAGCAAAAGAGGTCAGTTGCTTGGATTAAGGGTGTTGGCTAAGAAGATAAATAATTGATTCGTATGTTATTCTGGGACCCCTAGAAGCCAAAGAAAACGGAAAATAAGACCAATTATAAAATTCTTATTTTCAGAGACAAGAAATGCCTTCAGGAAAAGGGAATTTTTTTGTATAATTGTCTACTAAAAGAAAATGTTCACTTATGACTTTAGTGTATATAGACCAATTTATTTAGCTTTAAAGTGAAATTAATTTCAGGATATTTGGTAGTAAGTTTTAGCAAAACCTAAAGAAAATAGTAAAGCACACATTTCTGTTATTGATACATAATGATCAGATATATTTCCATGATAAATGTGATATTATAAAGCACAACTTTTAAAAAACATTTTTCTAGAGATTATGCCTTAATTTCAGCCTGTGGAACATTTCTTTAGGAGATATTCATGGCTGCTCTGTGTCCAACTACATTTGGGAGTCACCTCATACTGAATCCTTTTATATACTGGGTCACTTGCAAAGGCTTAATTGAGCATTTGACTGTCATATGCCACAGAATGGATCGGACACTATAAATAAAACACAAAAGAGAGTTTGTCTTTTCTGGGCTTCATCTTCTTAAAAAAATCAGCTATTAGACAAGCATATGTAAGTAGTCAAGAATTATGATAAATTTTCTAAATAAAAATAAGTGCATGAGAGAGCGTAAGAGTATTTATTTAATTCAGGTTTGGGATCAGGAAGGTCTCACTGTGGAATATTTATCTAAAATGTAAAGGGTGAACCAAGAAAACAGTGATGTGGAAGAGCATTAGAAAATCTGGAAGAAACACATGTAGCTGAAGCAAAGATTATGCTTATTTTGAAGAACCTTTTAGCTGCAGTAAATAAAAGACACCAAATTACCTCCAATTCTGTAAAGCAGCCTTCATGACTATTCTTCACTTTGTTCACAATTTATTATCTCCAGCCCGTACTAAATAGATAACATCATCTCCTACTTCACTGGGGGCTTGAAGGGAGAAAACAGTGAACTAAACTTTTACAAGACATTATTTGTCCAGCTGGAAATAAAAAGTAGAAAAAACATAGAACTTTCTATGTATAGAGGTTATAAAGACCTTAATTGCTTTTTAATTTGTTTAGTTCATGCATCCTTTGTCAGTCTGATAAAAGCTGTGGGACTCCTCAGAAAAATACACAGTGAATATCCTTTACATACAACCTTTTACATAAAAATCCAGCAGTTCAAATGCTCCTGCAATCCATTCATAAGCCATTCATAATCCATTCCTAAACCAGCTTTTGGTTAAGTATCCCTGCTTTCAAGTATCTTGATAAAATAGTAAAAGGACCAGAAGATACATAAATATAAATAGAAAAGTAAATAGAAGTGTGTGTCTGCTTTACTAGAATTTTGAAATATCATGTTTAAACTATAAATTTTAAATTTAGTTTATGGCTTAAGTACAGATCATATATTCCCATAAATGTGAGTATATACATTTATGTGCAAACCTTCGCTCACAAACTCATATGCTTAGTGTTTGAGATTTCTCAGTCCTGGACTGAGAGTTGGGAAAAAGTTATGTTTTCTTTAACATTCTCTCATAGAACCAAAATAATAGGAGAATCAGAAAAACATAGGCCTTTACATTTTGGCTTGAGATCAGCTTCTCGCCATACCTCTAGTACCTCAGACAAATTACTTAACATGTTTGTACCTATATTTTATCTACTTTAAAATAGAAAAGAATACCTAACACAAATTGTTCTTATGAGGATAATATATGAACATTGACTGAAAGATTTAAGCTTTTTTTACTTAAAATTATCCTGTTATAGATAGCCTTTTCTCAAGAAGTACATAAAAATAATAATAGTAAAGCTTTGTGACCACAAAAAGCTACCTACAGTATATGTATGATGTTTAACATATATAACTTGATATATATAATATGACATATGCTTGATATATATAATTAGACATATGCTTGTCTAATAGCTGATTTTTTTAAGAAGATGAAGCCCAGAAAAGACAAACTCTCTTTTGTGTTTTATTTATAGTGTCCGATCCATTCTGTGGCATATGATAGTCAAATGCTCAATTAAGCCTTTGCAAGTGACCCAGTATATAAAAGGATTCAGTAAGAGGTGACTCCCAAATGTAGTTGGACACAGAGCAGCCATGAGTATCTCCTAAAGAAATGTATATATATAATATCGAGTTATATATAATATATATGTTATAATATAGAATAGAATATTCTATAATAATATAGTATAGAATAGAATAATATTCTATACTATCATTTAATATGAAACTCACATAGACTATATTTGTAGCTGTGGGTAAATACATGTATGTAATTTTGGTATATATACGTGGCTTATGAGGGTTTTTATGGAGACATGAATATGGTGTTAACTAAATTATTATAAGTCCAATGAGCTTTGTGAGATGGCCAGTCGAAGCAAACAAATTCCATGTATCTCCGAAGCCATTTCCTCTAGATTGACTGAAAAAAAATCAATTTCCTTTAATAAACATATTTTACAAGCTTTGTAGCTATCACTTACTTCGTGGTTAAAGTTTACATCTATGGAAGATTACACAGTAACTTTGTGCTCACATGATTGAGTATCTTAGGGGTTTTTATAGATACATACTTAAATATGTCAGGGAACTTCATAGTTGTATGATTGGATGTACTGGGAACTTCTTGCTCCTTCTCCTTAATTTGTGAAATCAAGAGACAGAGTTACTGCAAATTTAAACTTGAGTAAGTCCTTTGCTCTACTTCATTTTTCTCCCGAGAGGCTTCTTTTTTTTTAAACGTCCTTTTGTAGAGGCAAAATGTAAATATTCTCTGAACTCTACTTCTGTATCTTACCGTGAAGAATAATAATTAGCTCATTAATTTCAATTTTTGTAATATGCTTAGGTCAACAAGATTACTTCTAAGGGCTCCTCATCAAATACCCCTGTGTACTTTAGGTTCTTTTACTTTTAGCAAGGCTGATTCAAAGTTTTTTAATTCATAACTTTTTTAAAAATTTTTCCGAGAGTCACATTGTATCTCCTTTATACTGACGTTTATTATCAGGCTGTTTTTTTTTGAGATGGTGTCTCACTATGATGCCCAGGCTGGCCTGGAACTCCTGGGCTCAAGTTATTCTCCCACTTCAGTCCCCCAGGTAGCTGGGATTATAGGCGTGAGACACAATTCCTGGGTTTATCATTTTGTAAAGCTGGAGCAATCAGTTAAGAATGGAGAAGCAACAGGGCCGCACGGTGGCTCACGCCTGTAATCCTAACACTTTGGGAGGCCGAGGCTGGTGGATCATGAGGTCAAGAGATCGAGACCATCCTGGCCAACATGGTGAAACCCCGTCTCTACTAAAAATAGAAAAATTAGCTGGGTGTGGTGGTGCGTGCCTGTAGTCCCAGCTACTTGGGAGGCTGAGGCAGGAGAAGTGCTTAAACCTGGGAGGCAGAGGTTGCAGTGAGCCGAGATCGTGACACTGCACTCCAGCCTGGGTGACAGAGCAAGACTCTGTCTCAAAAAAAAAAAAAAAAAAATGAATTGAGTAGCAATAGATATCATGAGCCTCCTCATGGCGCCAATATTCGTTTGAACCCGCCAACTTCACATTTAGATATATGTGTCTACGTTGCTGGATGGGCCAGGCTATTTGCTCATCTCTCAGTTATTTTACTATCCTGTTTCATCTTTTTCCATAACACTGTTACACTCACCTTTTTGTGTCACTTTTACCAGAGCCAGTCATTAATGAACAAGAAATGTCTTTATTTCATTTCAAAAAAGCAAAATATTTCTTTGAAAATTAAACAGTTAATTTCCAAGCCACTCATTAAAGTTATTTTATTATAAGTTTTAATATCAGAATTATAAAAATATTTAATATGTCATCTGGTAATTAATATTTATTCTTTTTTTTGAGATGGAGTCTCGCTCTGTCGCCCAGGCTGGAGTGCAGTGGCGCGATGTCGGCTCACTGCAAGCTCCGCCTCCCGGGTTTACACCATTCTCCTGCCTCAGCCTCCCGAGTAGCTCTTAGCAGCTTCTTAATTAAAGAATCCATAGCTCTCTAATGCACATACGATTGTGACATATTTATTCGTTACTTTAAGATCCTCCCCCAGTGTTGAATTCTACCAATTGCAAGGTGCTTCCATGGCTTTGGACAAAGTACAGAAGAATTAAATAACTTCACAGCCTTCATGGAATTCACAGTAAGGCAGATCCCATATTAACTCAATTAAAATATATTTAGTCAAAGCCAGATGCAGTGGCTCACACCTGTGATCCCAGAACTTTGGGAGGCGGAGGCGGATGGATCATTTGAAGTCAGGAGTTCGACACCAGCTTGATCAACATGGTGAGACCCCTGTCTCTACTAAAAATAGAAAAATTAGCTGCATGCCTGTAATCACAACTAGTCTGGAGGCTGAGACAGGAGAATTGCTTGAATCCTCCGGGAGGTAAAGGTTGCAGTGAGCTGAGATTTCACCACTGCACTCCAGCCTGAGTGACAGAGACTCCATCTCAAAAAGCAATAAAAATAAAATAAAATATATTGAGTTGAATACTGAAATAGGGGTAACTTTGGGAAGCTATGGGCCGCAAAGCAGAGAATGATGCATTCAGTTTGGGGGAGCTAAGATTAGTTTCGTAAAGGAGGTGACATCTTGAAGACATCTAGAATTTCAATAGACATAGAAAAAATTCATCGTAAGCAGAGGGACTAGTGAATATAAAGAAGTCATAAAGATCCAAAAAGAACTCAGAAATAATCAAGAAGGTGAGGGTAGCTACATCATAATTATAAGAGCCAACTTTATTGAGTACTTCCTTTGTCACCATGTGCTAAGTTCTGTATTTTAATATCCTCATTGAATGCTTGAAATAATTTCTATGAAGAAAGATCTGTTTTATCTTTATTTTACTGGGAGGCTGTGAAATATGCCTAAGGTCACACAGCTATCACATGGCAAAAACAAGATTCAAACCCCCACAGTTTCTAATTTTAAAGCCTCAGCATAATGAACACAGTATTGTACTGAACAGAATGAATGAATGTGAGTAGAAAAGACATTTCTGAGAACAAAGCTGGAAATGTATCATACAAATCAAATAAACATTTCTTGAGAAATCCTTGGGGAAGAGGGCAATATAACCTCTCAAACAGTAGCCAGAATCATCAACACAAATATGTATTTTAAGTTCTCACAATTGGTCTCGCCATATGAACTAAATGCTAGATATTTACTTGCTTAATGCTACCAATGAATTTTCAAATCTTTCCAAGGTGTTAATAATTTTATTGCTTTTTTATACCAAGAGCAAGAATCAAATGTTAGTTGCTATTGATGTTTACATTTTAAATAACAACTTTAATTTAGCCTACAATATTTAGCAATTACACAGGAATCCTCTGAAAGCTTTTAACCAGCCCCAGAAGTAAACTGGCTTTGGATGCTAATCTCTTGAGCTTTCCTGACTGACAAGTTTCCTCCCTAGAGGAGGGGAATTGGCCTGTCTCCTAAATTTTGCATGGCCTAAAGCAGTGAGTTTAGAAGCACCTGTGTTTCCTGGCAACAAACATAACATTTGTGGAAAAGTCTAATTATTTAAATTCCTCTGCATTTTTCTAATTGAGGATAAAGTGCTGCATTCTACCTTCGCATTCTTATTTTATTCCTTGGCCCTTTAAATAAAAAAATACATAAAATGATGTGGTCAGCTAAAATATATTGGACAAACAAAACCCCCTTCCTTTATCTCCCTCTATCGCTCTCTATGTATATATATTATATACATATATAAAATATATATAAACATATATATGAAAACAGATATTTGTGTGTATATATACACTAAGAGATATTATAGTTTAAATATTTTTTAACATACACTTTAAAATCTAACAGCTTGGATTTTAATATTGGGTCAGTCTTTCTAAAGTGTTTAATATTTTAGTTTGGAAGTATTAATTAGCAATTCATGAATGAGTAATTAAAAGTGCTTTAGGGGGCCTTTCACATCCTATAATAAATACCAAACCTTTTACCACATTTCATACTATAAAATCTTGGAACCCCATTATATAACTATGAGTTATTAATTTCTGTTACCTACTTTTAAAATGGGAACATATGTTATTAACAGGTGTTGCTTTGAAATCTATATTAGCAAATGTTCTACCTTATAATTAGTTTTTGACTTATCACAAAAAAGTATTTTATTTTTTTTAATTACATAGTCACATTTCAAGGTTAACTTTAAAAAATTCTAAATTATCTGATTTTCATGGGAAAGAGATTTGATATTTGTGCCTTAGCATTTTGGTATTTTTCTCTTTCTGTATAGCAAACCTTTGAATGATAGTCTGTCTGAATTCACAGTGAAGAAAATGATCAGAATATTGACTGTCAACAGATAATTTAGAAGGTTCAATCCTATGATAATCAGGGATATTTTCCTTATGTAAATGTGTTGATTTATCAAGTTCAGCTATGTCATTGATTACATCTAGGCTTCAGGCCTTCTGTGAACTGCCAGCTCTACTCAATTCTGGCTTGTGAATGTTATCACATATTTTAGTCAAATCAGAGGTTATATTATACACATCTGACATTTTTCTCTTTGTACTAATAACTTTTTTTCTTTTTTTGTTTTTACATCATGGCATAAGATCAACACTAAATTTTAGGAGTGCATAGTAAGTATTACCATAGTGTAATGCTATGCCAATTGTTTTCTAACTTAATATTTGCAAAACTGGGTTTTATGGTTGTTTCTATGCGAATTGAGTGCCTCTACAGAATTTTATCCCTGAGAGTATATGAGTGGTGAGTGATAAGAGATACTGAATGTCTCAGAACATACTAGCATCTGACAGCCTATTGGTAAGATAGTGTAAGTAAAGAGGATAAGGAAAATCTGACTTGAAAGGAGAATAAAATCTGATTGGACAGTCTGTAGCCAAGTTTGCATATTATGGATTTACAAAATGAGGTTGTTTTGAATTCTTGATTAATGAAACATAAACTGAGTTGTTTTAATATTGCGTGCCATTTGAAATAAAATGCATTTTGTCACAACCCTAGAAATGGGAGGTTATGTGTTGTAAAATATTCTTGTTCCCATCTAGAAGACACCATATTTTATAGAGAACAGTGGCTGAAGCTTGTTTTACTAGGAACAAGTATGGTGTAAGGAAATAACAATAATTAATACTGGTGGCACTTAGTGCTATAGTAAAAGTAAATTTCTAATTAGAAAATAATTACCATAAAATACTGAATTATATCTTTGTAAGGCCTTTAGAAATTGAATCACTAATTTAATATATAAGTAAGTCAATATTATTTTTATGAGAAAATGGACAACTTACGAAGTTGTTGTTATGTTTTCAGGCCATATTCCATTTTTCACCAAACAAGTTATTTCCCTGATACACTCACTTAAATCATCAGTAATACATATAGGTTTAAAAATGTTTTGTACAATTCTGAAAGCCTATCTTAGTTTAATGAAACATAATACCATAAAGCTTCCCTTTCCTCCAACATTTGAGCTACAATAAAACAACCTTGTACAACTGATAACAATTAACTCACCACCCCCACCCCATTGCAGTCATTAGAATTCATTACTAAAAGCTCATTTGTTTATGGTAAAATAAAGTATAAGGGTTTTGAAACCACCACTGCAAAATTAGGACTGAGACAGTGAAAGAGATCTAACTTAACTGACTCCATCTTGCTTCTAACCTCCACTAATTTATAGTTTATCGTTTAAACAAACATCATAACAGCCCTTTCCCAAAGCAGACCTTCTTGCCTGGGGACTAGATTGCCTCTGTAGGACTAACATCAGCCACAGTATTAGAAATTATGGTTTAGGAGTCATGCAGCTGGAGGCAACAAGATTCTGACCCCCACCAAACTGCTCCTAAGATCAGTGCTTGAGATAATTTGCAGACCCTGCACTTGATGGATCAGCTGGCACTACCCATATCAATAAACTGGCTCATCTGATCTTGTGGCCTCCACCCAGGAACTGACTCAGCGCAAGAAGACAGCTCCAACTCCCTGTGATTTCATCTCTGACCAGTCAGCACTCCTGGCTCACTGGCTTCCCCCGACCCACCAAGTTATCCTTAAAAACTCTGTTCCCCGAATGCCTGGGGAGACCGATTTGCTGATTTGAGTAATAACAAAACTCCAGTGTCCCACACAGCCAGCTCTGCATGAATTACTCTTTCTTCATTGCAATTCCCCTGTCTTGCTGAGTCAGCTCTGTCTAGGCAGTGGGCAAGGTGAACCCCTTGGGTGGTTACAAATTTGGGGGCTCACCCAGGATTGCCCCTGTGGCTACCTGCCTGTTGTTTGGTGGCCCCCTTTCAGTGATGGATCCAGAAGGCAGCCCAAGTGGCTGCCTAATTCTCTTGGACTGGGGGCTGACTCTGTTACTCTGTCTACTGGTGGGGTATTCCAACCCAATGTGCGTGGACTTAATTGCAATGGAAAAATAGTCATGGGGAGATGTCCCTTAACTGTAGCCCTATTACAGGGTATCTGTAGCCTCATGGTGGGGTGTCTATCTGTAGCTCCGTTTTGGGGTGTCTGGATTGGTGAGTATCCTAGGTGCTGCCAATGCCTGCTTCATTCTCCTGACTGGTTCTGTAGCCCTATGGTGGGGTGTCTGTAGCCCCATTGTGGGGTGTCTGTAGATCCAGCATGGGGTGTCTCTGTCTGTTACTCCATTGTGGGGTGTCTGTTCAGCTCCTGGGAGGTCTCAGTTCGCTCTTTCTAACTAGTAGGAAGACTACTGGTTTGGGAGACTTCTCTTCAATCAGGAAGATTTTGAGGAGGTTTCTCATACAGAAAATAGGAGGATAGTTTGGAAGGGATACTCTTGGACTTCTTGGTTAGGGATCTGATTTGGAAGGCCTTCTGTCCCTCTTGTCTTTGCATGTGTTTAAATATGTGAAAGGGATCTCAGAAGGGGTTGCTGATAGAAGTCCAGCATGCCTAACTCAGAGAACCCTCCTTATTTGTCTGGTCACATTCAGTGAGCTCTAAAGAAGGCTCAACAGTCCTGTCTCTCAGGGTGACTATCTGCTCTTTCCCTTGCCCAGAGACCTCATTGTGAATTACCGTTCAGAGGTCATCCGTCCCCACCTGGTGTGGATCAAAGACAACAGGGACCAAGATGAAAAATTTTGAGCTTTGCCAGGCTGATATTGGGTGCGGAAAGAGGTGACTAATGTCTGTTTTGTTATGTGTATTTTGCTGGGTTGGAAAATGTTAATTCAGTTCCCCATGCAGCCCGTTGGGCAGAATCTTGCAAATTAAGAATCTTGTTTATGGTTCCATAAAATGGTAAAGGGTGATTTTATCTTGTAAAGTGGCTTAAACCCCACAGCTATAGCACAAGCAAGCAGGGTCGTAAGACGCCACTCCGTTCTTCTGGAAGCTGCAGAGAAAGGGAACCCAGAAACCTGGCATCCCAGCAATAAGGGTAAGAAATTCTTATCAGTCAAGTTTCTGGTCTCTCTCTCTCTCTCTCTCTTTCTCTGCATTGTTAAATAGTAAACTATTTGTCTCCTCTGCAAGGGTTTGGTTAATAGAAAGAAGGATTTGTGAGACTAATCTTAGCACATCTGATGTAGTTTGTGCTAAGAATTTGTCTTTCTGTGTTATGTAATGGAGAGAGGGATATCACGTGATAGAACGTGGGTTAGGACACCCATAAGTCTGCTTTTCAAGTCAGCTTGGGAGGCTGGTCAGCTACAAACTTTGCTACAGGTCCCTGAAACCAATACTCTATGAAATTTCTCTGTCTTGTTTTGTGTCCTTAAGAGCTTAACCTTGTGACCATGTGGGGATACTTTCTTTTGGTTTCTACCATCCAGAGGACAGGAATTTTGGGGTTCATGTCATAGTTACTCCTAAGATTTTTCTTGAGCAGTTAAAAGCCTTGCAAGCCTGAAACTGGCTTCTCTAGGCTCCTTCTGGGAAAAGCAGTAGAAATTTCTCAACGCTGTATATAGCTCAGTAGCTAAGGCTTTGTCTTTTGACAGTGGTGGCCTGGGTTCAATTGTTGGCTTCTGGAATGATTCCTTTCTGATTTGTTATTTGTGTAGCTTTGCCATTTATTAAGTTTCTTTTCTGATTTCCTCTCTTGAATTTTCCTTTCTCTGGACTACCTTGTGGAGATTCTAAATCTTGTAAAAAGAAACTTCTTACTATGTCTTTGCAGCACCTAGGAGGTTTCCTTTGGTAAAGTTCAGAAGCTAAAAATATTGTCCACTTGGCATGGCTAAAATTAGGTAATAAGAGATCTAAAAGAATTTCTTTTTTAAAGAGCACTATGGTTAAAAGTCAGCTTAATTAAGAGTGGATAAACAAGCTATAGATATATTTAAAAGGCCTTTATGTTTTTCTCTTCTTGGAACTTGTTTTTTTGGAAAAAGTTTTTTCTTCTCAGCCGACTGAATTATTTTTCTCCATTTTTTTCTCTTTTTTAATTTTTTTGTCTTGCCACTCTTAACGCACACGTGAGTCCCTAAGATAACTTCTGGTAGCCTGGGACTCATTGGGAAAAACAGAGGAGGCACCACAGAACCCGTTTTAGGGAAAAAAAAAAAAAACTGTTTTCCACATGAAACCCCAGGAATTAAAAACAGATGGATCCCTCTCAAAATCAAAGACTCTGCTCTGTTTTTCATTGTGTTATCTGATGGTTTTGAGTTTTGGGGATATCAGAAATTACTTCACATTATGAGGGAGCTTTAGTGTGTAATAACTAGATAGGAAATATACTTTAAGGGATGGCTAATGGTAGTTATACAGGGATACTTGACTCTTTGCACACTTGGATCCAGAGAAGCATGCTTTTGGTCACCCGGAAGATAAGGAAACATTCCTCACCCTCCACTGGGAGATCAGACTCCCATGAAGGACGGGCTGATTACAAAATGGGCTGATTGACTTTGGGTTGCCTTGCAATGAAATGCAGGGTATGGCCGGGTGCCGTGGCTCGTGCTTGTAATCCAAGCACTTTGGGAGGCTGCACTTTGGGAGGCCGAGGAGGGCGGATCACTTGAGGTCAGCAGTTTGAGACCAGCCTGGCCAACATGGTGAAACCCCGTCTCTAAGAAAAATACAAAAATTAGCCAGGCGTGGTGGCACATGCCTGTAATCCCAGCTACTTGAGAGGCTAAGGCAGGAGAATCCCTTGAACCCAGGAGGCGGAGGTTGCAGTGAGCTGAGATAGCACCACTGCACTCCAGCCTGGGTGACAGAGCGAGACTCCGTCTTAAAAAGAAAGAAAGAAACAAAAATAAGAAAAGAAATGTAGGGTAGAAGCACTGTACTGTCTTCTCCCGTAGTATTTCTCTCCTTTTGGGTTGCAGTATAAAATGGTGCCCTTAATTTGGGAGTTCTGTCTTTGCCTTCAGCTGTGATTAAGCCTTAGAAATGCATACTTTCCTGGCCCTGTTCCTCCAAAGGCTCCACCCTGAAGCCAGTAATCTGATTAAGAAACTGGCAAATAAAAAGTCTTATCAGTGCCAAATCTTCTGTCTGTATTTACATGTGTTTTTGTGTGTGTGTGTGTGTGTGTGTGTGTGTGTGTGATGTTTATAAAAGAGCTCTGATTAATTGGCTTGGAAAATAAGTGCTTAAATAAAAAAATATTTTGTCAGAAAAATAGAAACTTTGATGACTTTTTGTTCACATGACTTTAGTAATCTTTTGGCAATAAAGACAATTTTAAAGATTATTGTTAAAGTAAAATATCTTGAAAATGTAGACATTTGGTCTAAATTAAGGTCAGCTATCAGATTTGCTAAATTCTTTAAGGTCAAACTGTTTCCTTGACTTTGGAAAATTGTTCAATTTATTTACTTTGGAGCATTATATTATAGATGAGGCCTGGGGACACGTGGAGAGCTATGCCCCTAGCTATGCTGAAAAGAGTCAGACCTTATCTTCACTTCTGTCTGATGTCCTAGGCTCCATCCCTAGCATATAATTAAAATAGCTTTTTTATCAGGTTTTTCACTAAAAATCAAAGTTGCTAAGAGTTAACATTGTAACATGAAATCGAGGTTACTGGAGAAACAGTTTTACATACAAGGTGTGTAGGGAATGTGTTTTTGGTGAAAGATAATAAGGCATAGGAATATGGCTTTTGTTGAAGAGAATGTAATTTTGTCTAGTTCAGAGGTTTTAAAGACTGTCTTAAACTAAAAGAGTAACGGAACGAAACTGAGGGTTTAAGCAAAGTGAAAAGGGTTTATACAGGGTTGATCCTGAAAAAAAAAATTCTGTGGGTATAAACAAGTTGGCTAAGATTTGAAAAAGGTTATTTAGCTTTTTCTATAGGTTAAAATATTAAAGTCATACTGTGGGGCCAGAATCTGGGCCCATGTGTCCAAATAACAGGGTCTTCTTAGAAAATTGATCTGCTGTTTAATGGAAAATTATAAAGCGTTCTAAAAAGTTTATGAGAATGTCACCTTGTGGTCAAACTAATTAAAACTGGATAGATACATAAAATTTTATTTAAAAACTAGCTTTAGCATTAAAGATGCACTAATGCGAACATGAAATTTGGTTTTCTCTTTTGAAGACGATTTTTTTGTAACGTTAAAAGATAATGAAAGGGTTTGGCTTTCTCCTTTGGGTAAATGGCAGGGGAAAAGGGGAGAGAGAAGAGACAAATTCAGTTATCCTCATGCTGTCTTTATTGGGTCTTGTTTGGAAAGCTAAGTCTCCTCTGTCAGAATAAAGGTTTTTCTTTTAAGATTTTGGAGTTATCGTTTTGGTCAAATGAATGACTTATGGTGACCTGGGATTCTATTTTGTGATATCCAGTGTTTTAAACCTTTGATATTTGGCAAACTTTCCAAAATCAAATTATAAATTATGTCTCTTTCTGGCCTAATCTTTTAGATATTAGGTCCTCTAAAGTCCAAAAATGACATTTGGCGTATTTTGCATAAAAATCATACAGGAAACATTGTCAAATATGAAATGGTGTTTGGCTTTTTGGGGGCTATATTTGTGTAAATATATGATTGACATATGTTCTGAGATTATGTAAAACTCCTATAATTCTAATATGACTTAGTATATGTTATCAGTAATAATTGTAATTATGTTAAATGGCTATGTGCCACAGAGGTAACAAATTTCCTTGTCGATTGTGTCTTTAACTCTGGCTACTCTACAATGTTTGTGTCGTCCACAGGCAATTGTTGTCTCATTTTTGTCCTCTTAAAAGATGGTTTTATAGGCCGGGCATGGTGGCTCATGCCTGTAATCCCAGCACGTTAGGAGGCCGAGGTGGGCAGATCACCTGAGGTCGGGAGTTCAAGACCAGCCTGACCAACATGGAGAAACCCCATCTCTACTAAAAATACAAAATCATTCCTGTAATCCCAGCTACTCGGGAGACCGAGGCAGGAGAATCGCTTGAACCTAGGAGGCGGAGGTTGCGGTGAGCCAAGATCATGCCATTGCACTCCAGCCTGGGCAACAAGAGAGAAACTCTGTCTCAAAAAAAAATGGTTTTAATACCAGCTGTAAAATGTAACAGGTGGTCTTAAATGCAGGTTTCTGATTAATAACTCTGGAGATTGTGACGTTAGAATAGAAGGAAAACTTTCAAATAGAAGAGTGAATGGTGTTTGGTTTTCTTTGGACTGTATTTGTATAAATATGTTATTAGTGTGTGTTCCAAAAATTATGGGAAACTTCTATAATTCTGATATGATTTCACTATTAATAATTATAATTGTTATGTAAAATTGTTGTGTGCCACGGAAGTAACCAAAATTCCTAGTCAATTGTAGCTTTAATAATGGCTGTAGACTTTTGTCATCCACAGACATTTTATCTTGCTTTGGTCCTTTTCAAAAGGCAGTTTATAATCGGATATAATACTCTGAGTGCAGGTCTTAGATAACTTTAAAAATTATGCTCTTGGAATAGAGGGAAAAAACATCTAAATGTGGCAAACTGATGTGTTAAACATTGCTAATCCTTTTGTTTTCAGAGTCAACATAACTTATTTCTTTAGAGCTATTTGCCACTTTTACCGAGTGAGTAAAATACACTCAGTGACAAATTTTGGAGCAAATTTGTTTCTCTCTACCTGATTTCTCTAGAATTTGGAAACCATTTGTGAGTATTCTCAATTTATGACAGTATAGTTAATTGCATACGTGCAATAAGAATCTGTTTTCTTTTGTAACAGGACACCATTGGAGAAATTGGTCATTTTACCAAGGCTTTGACTGGAATGGCATGCTTCCTTTAAAGAATCAAAGTTGACTTATAGAGCCATTTAAAGCCCGTTGGGGAATCTGGCCTCATACCTTGTCCACACAGAGTCCCTGTACAAGGTTCCTGACCTGTGGTAAGTAAAGAATGTCACTTTCTAACAGGCCCAGGAACCCCAAGTTATCTTGGGACCTCAAGAGGAGAGGACTTTGGTCAACTCATAGGTATTTGAGGGTACAAACCCATGGCTGGGCTCGGCTTTCAAAAAGTCTTATCTGAGATTCTTCATGGAACAGAGTTCCATCAAAGCCAATTTAAAAAGCCTAAGTGAAAAATAATTATTCTTGCTGCACTTCATGCAAATAATCAGGCCAAGTACAGTAAGACTAAAATGCATTTTATAAGCAAATCATTTCTATCATGATTTGTTTTTAATAAAAATGGGGACTGAACAGAGAAATATTATGCTTCAAAAGAAAATCTATAGTAAACTATTAGCTATTCTTGAGGTTAATTCTTCAGTTTAGACTAAATTCTAAATTGTTTGTGGGTTAGAAGTTCCCAAACTAATGATTTCAAATGTTTGCTTTTAAAATTGGGAATTGTACTTCTCATCCTAGGACTCATTATACCTTATAGTAGGCTATTCACATAAACACTGTAGTAAAACTATAGATGAGAGTAATAATGTTTCTGCCACGCAAGCCTTGGAAGCCCAATTAGGCCTGCATGAATCCACTCAAACAGTTGCAAAGCAGTTCCACTCTTCTCACCTTGGAGTTCGTTCCCATTCCCGCTACTTCCCCCATCAGCAGGAAGAAGCCAGAGCGATCGACGGCCTTTTCCCATCTTTATAGCCTATACCTTAGGGTTAAAGTGTTAGAAAACCCAAAGGAAGGGATTGAAACCACCTTTGCAAAATTAGGTCTGAGACAGTGAAAACAATCTAACTTAACTGACTCCATCTTGCTTCTAACCTCCAAGCTGTCTTCGTTCATTCCTGGGCATAGGCTGAACTAACTTTGGGAGAAACTTAGTTTACAGTTTAAAGATGGTAACAGCCCTTTCCCAGAGCAAAATTCCTTCTTGCCTGGGACTTGCGTTTGTAGGACTAACATCAGCCACAGTGTTAGAAATTATGGTTTAGGAGTCATGCAGCTGGAGGCAACAAGATTCTGACCCCCACCAAACTGCTCCTAAGATCAGTGCTTGAGATATTTTGCAGACCCTGCACTTGATGGATCAGCTGGCACCACCCAGATCAATAAACTGGCTCATCTGATCTTGTGGCCTCCACCCAGGAACTGACTCAGCGCAAGAAGACAGCTCCGACTCCCTGTGATTTCATCTCTGACCAGTCAGCACTCCTGGCTCACTGGCTTCCCCCCACCCACCAAGTTATCCTTAAAAACTCTGCTCCCCGAATGCTTGGGGAGACTGATTTGAGTAATAATAAAACTTCGGTCTCCCGCACAGCTGGCTCTGAGGGAGTTACTCTTTCTCTATTGCAATTCCCCTGTCTTGATGAATCGGCTCTGTCCAGGCAGCAGGCGAGTTGAACCTCTTGGGCGGTCACAGTTTTGACCTAGTAAAGCTTTCATTTTCTTGCTTTGCCCTATGGCCTAATTTATAATATACATAACCAAAAGCCTTAGCTTCTAGTAAATAGTATTTATTAAAGTGCTATATAAACGTTACATTTTAGGGTAACCAACTTTTCTTGTTTTATTTTTGTTTGTTTTTGTTTTTCAGGAATTTCTCAGTTTTAAAATTTAAAGTCCCATATCCCACAAACCTGCTTAGCCCCCAGGCACACCAGACACTCGATCACCCTAAAGTTCTAGTTTATTTTGGGATCCTTGCATCCCTTAAAATTACATACAAGATGTTGGGTATACATACATACTGCAATTGCCATCAGGTTCACCTTGCCCACTCTCTAGACAGAGTTGATTTATCAAGACAGGGAAATTGCAATAGAGAAAGAGTAATTCATGCAGAGCAGGCTGTATGGGAGACTGGAGTTTTATTATTA
The DNA here is from genome assembly GCF_000001405.40 of Homo sapiens. Classification (NCBI taxonomy): domain Eukaryota; kingdom Metazoa; phylum Chordata; class Mammalia; order Primates; family Hominidae; genus Homo; species Homo sapiens. The sequence continues at coordinate 33,076,286 of NC_000023.11, read as the reverse complement.
CTCAAATCAGTCTCCCTGAGCATTTGGGGACCAGGGTTTTTAAGGACAATTTGGTGGGTGGGGAGCAGCCAGTGGTCAGAAGTAATGATTGGTTGGATCAGAGATGAAATCATAGGGAGTCAAAGCTGTCTTGCCCTGAGTCAGTTCCTGAGTGGGGGGTCATAGGATGAGATGAGCCAGTTTATTGATCTGTGTGGTACCAGTTGATCCATCGAGTGCAGGGTCTGCAAAACGTCTCAAGCACTGATCTTAGGCTTTACAATGGTGACTTTATGCCCAGGAGCAATTTGGGGAGAAGCAGTATCTTGTAGTCTCTAGCTGCATGACTACTAAACCGTAATTTCTAATCTTTTGGCTATTTTGTTAGTCCTACAAAGGCAGTCTAGTCCCCAGGCAAGAAGGAGGTTGGTTTTGGGGAAGGGTTGTCATTGCCTTTGTTTTAAACCATAAGCTATAAACTAAGTTCCTCCCAAAGTTATTTCAGCTTACCCCCAGGAATGAGCAAGGACAGCCTGGGGCTTAGATGCAAGAGGGAGTTGGTTACATCAGATCTCTTTCACTATTTCAGTTATAATTTTGCAATGGTGGTTTCAATACCTGAATGCATTTTCGTAAGACAAAGCTTCAATGCCAAAACATCTAAGATATCCCAATACGGTATTAATTCATTTGCTCGGTATTAATTCATTTGCTGTTGCTATAAAACAGAATACCTGAAACTAGGTTACTTATTTCAAAAAGGAACTTATTTCTTACAGTTATGGAGGCTCAGAATGTATCTGCACAATAGGTTCTTCTTTCCTGCTGCCCAGGTAGAGCTGATTTATCAAGACAAGGGAATTGCAATGGAGAGTTTTATACATGTACAGCCACCAGCTAAGCAGAAGATCAGAGTTTTACTATTACTCAAATCAGTCTCCTCAAGAAGTCTGAGGCTAGGGTTTTCAAGATCGGTTTGGGGAAAGGCATGTGGAAAGCTACGCAATAGGTGCTTGCTGCTGACTGGTAGGGATTGCAATCATAGGACTGTGGGCAAGGGTCCTCCTGTGCACTGAGTCTCTTCTGGGCGGGGCCACAGGAGCAGTTGGCAGGTGCAGGTGGAGCCATCAGTCATCAGACATGAAATATATCTGAACAGATATCTCAAAAGGCCAATCTTAAGTTCTACAATAGTGATGTTGTCTGCAAGAGTAGTTGGGGAAGTCGCGTGTCTTGTGACCTCTGGAATAATGGCTGGCAATCCTGTATGTCTACACCGCAGCAGAATTTAGTTTCCCCTATCCTCCTAGCCTGGTGGTCTCTCATTAGCTCTACAAACGCGGTTGAGTTTTGGGGAAGGGCTATTGTCATTTAAACTATAAATGTCTCCCAAAGTTAGCTTGGCATAAGCCCAGGAATAATTAAGAGCAGCTTGAAGGCTAAAGGCAAGAGAGGAGTTGGCTAGATTAGATCCCTTTCACTTCCATCATTTTCTCACCGTTATAATTTTTGCAAAGACCATTTCAAGAAGTCCCAGGTCAAAAGGACACATCTGGTGAGGGCCTTCTTGCTGGTGGGAACTCTCTACAGGGTCCCAATGGCCTGGGGCATCACATGGCAGGAGGGCTGTGTATGCTAACTTGCTAGCTCAGGTCTCTCTTCTTATCAAGCCACCAGTGCCATTCCCATGATAATGCATTAATCCATTAACTCATTAATCCATTAGGGCAGAACTTTCATGATCCAAGTGCCTCTTAAAGGCCTCCCCTCTCAATACTGCCACACTGGGGGTTAAATTTTGGAGGGGATAAATAGTGAAACCATAGCAACCACTGAATCAAAGGAGTTAAATGCTATTTTTAAAAATGATGCTAAAAGACAAAAAAAAAAAATATAGTGTTAAAAGAAAAACTTGAGCCAAATTAAAGTTAAAGGAGTTTAATTGAGCAATGAACGATTTGCGAATCAGGCAGCCCTCAGAATTACAGCAGATTCAGAGAGACTCCAGGGGTGCCTTGTGGTCAGAATAAATTTATAGACAAAAAAAAGTAAAGTGACATGTAGAAATCGGAAGTGAGATGCAGAAACAGCTGGATTGGTTACAGCTCGCTGTTTGCCTTATTTGAACACAGTTTGAACAATCAGCAGTGTATAACTGGCTGAAGAATGGCGGCTGGGATTGGCCAAGACTGAGTGATTGTCACAGGCCCATACTCCTAAGTTAGTTTTTCAATCTTGTCTACCTATTGAGATAGGTTGTAGTTCATCCACAGGGACTCAAATATAGAAGTACGGAGTCCTTCTCAGGCCGTATTTAGTTTGCTTTAACAATAGACTTTATGGGAAAATGGTATTTTGTTAAATGCAAAATAATAAGTTAGAGAAACACTTTAGTGTTTATAATTTTTAATATTGACTGTTAGCCTTAGCTGTTTATTTATTTATTTATTTATTTATTTATTTATTTATTTATTTGAGACAGAGTTTTGCTCTCGTTGTCCAGGATGGAGTGCGGTGATGCGATCTCGGCTCACTGCAACCTCCGCCTGCCAGGTTCAAGTGATTCTCCTGCCTCAGCCTCTCGAGTAGCTAGGATTACGGGCACCCGCCACCAAGCCCGGCTAATTTTTTGTGTTTTTAGTAGAGACGGGGTTTCACCACATTGGCCAGGCTGGTCTCGAACTCCTGACCTCAGGTGACCCACCCACCTCAGCCTCCCAAAGTGCTGGGATTACAGGCATGAGCCACCACGCCCACCTGCCTTAGCTGTTTAATATGTAACTCATGGCTTGGTATAGTTCCTGAGATTTGGAGAGGCAAACTGAGGTTTGAATCCTGTCTTCAAACTTATTGGCAGTTGGGCCTGATCAAGTTGCTTAACATTTTTGTGACTCATTCTCCTTACATACAAAGTGGAGAAATTTTGCCTATTTTTAAATAGAATTGTACAGGACAGAGAAAAATGTATTTTAAGCCTCTTAGTGCTTTGTGATATATAGCAGGCAATATTTAAATGGTAACTATTATTATTGATAATAGTAAGTATGTATTTATGTGCTTCACAGTTTTACAATTAAACATGTCCCTCTCAGGGTTTCTTACTATATTCTTACCTAGAGCTGTGACATATTAAACCACCTTGCACCAAAACTGAACAATTGGTATACTGAGGATAAACATTACTTTTTTATTCAGTAGATATCACTGGATAATTTTGTTATAAATCTCTGACAGTAAAGTGAAAGATTATGTATATCAGTTAAAACTGATAAATAACATTAAAAAGAAATTTCTGAATTGAACATCTTTTGCTCTAAATTTTCTGGCCAAATAGGGATACCTCAAAGGAAAATGGCCGGTGAATTTGTATACAGATAATTAAATAGTAGTTTTAGTCAGTAAATCAGGAGGTCCAAATAATAAGTAGAACCAGGGACATAGCATGATGGAAATTATGCTGCCCAGTTTTCAAAAACATTGATGGTAATAAACAGCTGTGTAACATAAAAGCTGGTATGAGAACTTGGTCAAATTCTTTTTACCTGAGTTGAGAAAAGGTATCATCTCCCCATATTCTACTCCAAACTGATGAAATGCTCACCGAGCTGCTCCGTAGCCTGGCTGGTTACCTCACTGAAATTTCACCCTTGGAGGCCTTATGACCTTTTAACTTATTCCACAGCTAGATTCCACCATTATCCAAATCAATGGTGCATTTACAGGTGATTCAGAAGTTATTTAGAGAAGATTCTGACATGTTCAATAAAAATTCCAAATTTCTCAGGAATTACTTTTAGACATCTCTAAATGAATAACAGAGAGGTTATGTGAAATCCTTGTGTAATTATCTGTGCCCAGATTTTTTTGTCGTTGTTTGTTTTTGGTTTTTGAAACAGAGTTTCACTCTTATCGCCCAGGCTGGAGTGCAGTGGTGCGATCGTGGCTCACTGCAACCTCCATCTCCCAGGTTCAAATGATTCTCCTACCTCAGCCTCCCGAGTAGCTAGGATTACAGGTGCCTGCGACCACACCTGGCTAATTTTTGTATTTTTAGTAGAGAAGGGGTTTCACTATGCTGACCAGGCTAGTCTTAAACTCCTGACCTCAGGTGATCCGCCTGCCTTGGCCTCCCAAAGTGCTGGGATTACAGGCGTGAGCCACCGCGCTGGGCCTGTGACCAGATTTCTTAACCATCACATGCCTTTGGACTTGCCATTCAATGTTCCATTTAGTAGATTTTGATACATTGAAAAATCACTATGAACACATTTTCAAGTCTAGCTGGCTTCATTTTTGTCCTCTAAATGGCACTAAATAGAATCTGTGATTGTGACAGTGCCTTTGCTTTAATCTACCAGCTATTTTTGAAAGATATATAACTTAATTGAAAAATAGTACAATCTTTTCACTTAGAATCTTTACGAAAAATGTAAAAGATGCTTTGCCAGTCTGAATAGTTAATTGAGTTTGACTGTACCGGGTAAGATGCAAAAGAGTGTGTCTATGGCAACTCTTTATCTCATAAAAAATTTAAAGGGCCTTTATTTAATGTGACTCCTTTTAAAATTCATTTAATGGCGTAAGTAAAACTGGATATATAATTAGAGTCTAAGATAAAAGCATAATAATTGAAATAAGATAATATGAAGAAGCTCACACAACAATGATTGGGCTTCAAATGAATATATTCTTTAAGCTCAGCTGAACTCTTGTAAGTTGTATTTTTTCACTATGATGTAATAATAATGGTATGTGGATGACAATTATACTACTTTATAAATGTAAGGTGTCTTATAGTGTACTAGGATCTTTCCTATGCATTATCAAATCTGAATCTCCAATTAGCCCTGGATATTTGTATATCCTTTTTTTTTTTTTTTTTTTTAATCAGGACAGAGTCTCACTCTGTTGCCCAGGCTGGAGTGAAGTGGCGTGATCTCAGCTCACTGCAACCACTGCCTCCCAGATAGCTGGGACTACAGGCATGTGCCACCACACTTGGCTAATTTTTGTATTTTTAGTGGAAACGGGGTTTCACCATGTTGGCCAGGCTTGTTTTGAACTCCTGGCCTCAAGTCATCTGCCACCTCGGCCTCCCAAAGTGCTGGGATTACAGGTGTGAGCCACCAAGTCCGGCCTGTATGTCCATTTTTTAGAAAAGGAAACTGAGCACAAAGAGGTTGAGTAACTTGTTCAAGATCACATAATTAGTAAGTGATAAAGTCACACTCAAACCCAGGTATTCTAACTTCAAGTATAATGTTCTTTTCTCTGTGTTCCTTCTTTGTATAATAGAGAGCAATGAGTATGTAGGAAGGGCAGAATAGCTGCACAGATCTTTACAATATGTCTCACAATAATGCTGTGCTTTCAAAAGACTTGATTTAATCATTTTGTTTCCTCATTCACTGGTCTATTCATTCAGGCTAAGGGGGCCCTTTTTTCTAGATAGATTTGCTTTCACCATTTCATTCCCTTGTCAATATTCGCCATCTTAGAATAATTGTGTTTTCATTCTCCCGCTTGAAAAAAGATGCTTAGGTAATTCTTTATTTAAGAAGTAAAGAAACATTATCAATATTGATATAGATATGAACATATATATATATATATATATATATATATATATATATAGAGAGAGAGAGAGAGAGAGAGAGAGAGAGAGAGATGGATAGATACAGATATAGATACCTCAAATCCAGGAAGAAGGAACTAGATTTTTTAATTATACAAAAATAAAATACTCTTTTTTAATTTTTTTCTTTTACCTTTTGTGTTCTTTACATAAGATCAAATGAATAAATACATTTATTTAATAAGGAAGCTTATTGGTAGTTCCTGTAGTATTTACTGTCTATTAAGCATCAACCTAGGAATTGTACCATAACTTTTGTTTAAATACAATTCTTCTATTGATGCAGTAAGAGCTGTCAGTCATAGTGCTGGGAATGCCAGAGGGGAAGTCATCCCTGACAACATTTTTTATTGCACTATTAATACGTACAAGTTGACGTTCAAGTGTGTGTATGTATGTGTGCGTGTACATAGGCACACAGAAACATCATATATACATGTGACTACGTAAAAAAATACACTTAAACATATCTGTTTACTCTGTAAGTGAATAATCATTTATTTCAATGTTTAGATGAGATTTTAACATATTAGAATGGCTTCATTTTTCTTTCTAGGCAATCTGCTAGCAGGCTTTTTCCAGCAACCTATTCTTCCCCCATCTTTTTGATATTATACCAAGATTTCTGCCTCCATTTTTGTTGATGTAATTATCCCGGCATAATTTTGAAAAAAGATTTCCTGGCAATGTAAATCCACAAGATTGTTGATATGGCTTGAGCTCAAATGATGCTTCTATCCGATTTGTTTACCTTTCAGCTTGAGCAGAGTTCTTGTTTCATAAGAAAAACAGGAAGAGATACTATAGTAGAGAAGGACTTTTATGGATGGTTTTATTTTAAGTAAATATTGCCTGTAAGGGATCCAGGAATTTTAGTGTTTTTCTTGGATTCCTTAACCATAATACTTAGCCCAGAGCAAAACTTTCTCTCAAATGATGGTAAAAAATCTAATTCTATTAAATCCTGATTATTCTGTGAGCTACCTTGGAATACATTGCCTATGAGTTTTTCTGCTAAGAAATGGACTTCGTTTATTGCTCATTTTCCCAAAATCAAGGAATGCTGTTGTTCTTCAATTTAGATAGATGTTGACAAGGTCCTCTTCATAGCAGCAGGTGTTAGGCTATAATTGCTCATTATAGAATTATGTTTTGCTTGAAGGAACTCAGGAAACAAGAAAAGCATGTTTTCTGTGTATATGAATTCTGGTTGAAAAATTGAAAGAATGACACTAGGAATAGTATGTAAATTGGCAGAATTTGTCATTTCATTGTGCAACTAGTATTTTAAAAGGCAATAAATCAACGTGAACATCCTTGGGAAATCAGTCTCCTTCTTAGGCCTAACTTGCAAAGTACCCCCTTACCATTGTATTTTTTTAAGATAGAAATTGAGATTAGAGCAACACGGGGAGCAAAATATTGGCAGATGAACTTGTTGAAGGAGATGAAAAACAAGAAGCTATAGAAATAGATTGGCCAATAGTGCTGAGCAACTACTCAACTGCAAAAATGGCTTGCTTTTCCAAGCAATGTGTAAAGCAATTAGCACCAACGTTTTTATTAGTTTACATAAAATAATATTACTTTGTAAACACCTATAAACAGAGATTACCTAGATAGCCTAAGACTATTATTAAGTACAATAAAACGTTACTGGTTTAAAGTAATAGGTATAGAACTTTGTATTGTATGGTGCACATTCACATAACTAGAGAGGAAATGGAGGTCTACAAGTCAAGGTTGAATTACACACTTGTAATCCATCCTTAAGGGAAAAAGCTTCACTGATCAAGATGGTACTTTGCACAACCTTGCCAATTGTTTCACAAAGCTGTAATGATGCCACAAATAATCTTTCACCTCCCATACCTAAGTAAACCATATTTGAGTTATTTTCTCTGCTCCTTCCTATACCTTTCCTCTTTGGCATCACAAAGTCAGATTTTTAACCTACAGGTTGACATAAGCCAAAAATGTTGGAAGATTATAAACTGCCTCTCTTTCTCTCACTGTATGTGTTGTGTATATGTGTGTGTACACATATATAAGCACACACATAGATAGAACTCACACGGAAACATAAGCACATATCTACGCACTGTTGTTTTGCTACCATATCCAGTGATAACGTTTATTTTGAATTACATGTATTTTTTTTCTGAATTTAAGAGTGAAATGAAATAGAGTTTTGTTAGATATACAGTTATTACCTATATAAAAATGATTCTGTGCATACTTCCTTGGCAAAGTACAATACCTCCTCCGCTGTCACTGCCAATGCACAGGTGTTCTTTCTCCTGGCTGTTAGACTCACTGGGAGAACTTAGAAAAATATTTCAGCCACAGCTTTACTCTAGCCTAGATCAATTAATCACTACCTTGGCCTTACAATCTACTAGGCAGTCCTTCCCAAACTCTAGAATACAGCAGAATCCCCTAGAATGCTTATTAAAAATGCAGATTCTAAAGCCCCATTCTAAATGATATTCTTCTGGTAGGTCTTTACAAGTCATGTATTCCTGGGGTCTTTCTTTGAGAAACACAACTCTAAAAGGTCTTTGTTATTCCCATTCTGGGTTTTGAATTCTTTCTCGAAATTGTAACAAAATATATGTACTGAAATACTGTTCCTCTAACAATCTGAAGAAATTTTCAGCACTAGCAGCACTTGTTGGCACTATTGTTGTTATTTTGTTTAATATTTAAGACAACTAAAAGTTACAGTAATTTATAATGAGAATCAGTATTATGGAATCAACCATTAACAGTTCATCTCACTAAAGAATTTTTATTTTTATTATTTATTTATTTACTTACTTATTTTTGAGACAGAGTCTGGCTCTGTCGCCCAGGCTGGAGTGCAGTGGTGTGATCTCGGCTCACTGCAACCTCCACCTCTCGGGTTCAAGCGATTCTCTTGCCTCAGCTTCCCAAGTAGCTGGGATTACAGCTGCCCGTCACCACACCCGGATAATTTTTTTTTGTATTTTTAGTAGAGATGGGATTTCACCATGTTGGCCAGGCTAGTCTGGAACTCCTGATCTCAGGTGATCCACCCGCCTTGGCCTCCCAAAGTGCTGGGATTACAGGCGTGAGCCACCGCTCCTGGCCTCGCTAAAGAATTAACATCATATGTTCACTAGTACTGAGGTTAGTTCCCAAACACTGCACTAAAAAAATGAATGAAACAAATGAATGAAAATGTGTTTCCTTAGCCATATTCTAAGAAAATCACCTCTTTGATTATTGTAATTGGAACCATCTCTTCTTTCTTTGCCTGGAATCTTTGTAACAAGGTTATCTTCTTTCATGTCCCATTCCAATTAGTAATCATTTATTTCTATTAAGGCTTTTATAATCATTCGGAGAATCCACACTCTTTGTGTCTGCAGTCGCTGAGTTCACTCATTAAATACAGAATTTTCAACAACCCTATTTCCATCTTCATTGTTATTAATACTTCAAATTTGCTTCTGTTCAGAACCACGCACTTGTAGGATCGAGTAGGTATACGTGTTATCCGTACACACTCTGAAAAACTCCCTGCAGACACTTACTGAACAGGAATTGCTTATTTAACTGTGTTTTCTGTCTCTTTCATACATGTTCTCTCTCTACTGAAGTGATTGAAGGATGACAAAGGTCCTTATGGGTGTTTGATGGCCTGTGAATAGCTGTCGGTCTACGAATTCCCTGAAAATAATTTCTCCACTTGTATGAAAATAATTTACTCCGTGACTTTTCATGTTGTATTGTCAATCTTCCTTCTGGTTGTATCAGGCAGGAGTCATTGTTTTACATTTCATTCTTTAGGGGGCCTATGCTTGGATTTCTCCCATTGAGAAAAAACAAAGCATAACTCTGACATAATCGTTGGTGTTAATATCATGAAAACCTGGAAAAACTAAAGGCAAGGCAAAAAATATGCATTCTTATGCATGCTTTATGTGCACTATGCCCGTACATAAACCTGGCAGAACTTTAGGCAGAATTAAAGGTTTAAATGGGCATCATCTATCCTCTATAGGCCTTTTAGTGTGCTTCTTATGTCCTGAGGACCATAAGAAGATCTAGGAGCTGAGTCCTACCTACCCCACATTGCTGGTACCGTTGGGGGCTCTATGCCATTCTACTCCAGCCAGCTTCCTAAGATTAGTCTATTACTTTTGTTTCCTTTTTTTCTTTTCTTTTTCCTTCCTTCCTTCCTTTTTTTTTTTTTTTTTGACAGAGTCTCACTGTTTTGTCCAGGCTGGAGTGCAGTGGTGTGATCTCGTCTCACTGCAACCTCTGCCTCCCAGGTTCAAGCGATTCTCATGCCTCACCCTCCTGAGTAGCTGGGATTACAGGCGCGCACCACCAGGCCTGGCTAATTTTTATTTTAGTAGAGACGCGGTTTCATCACATTGGCCAGGTTGGTTTTGAACTCCTGACCTCAAGTGATCTGCCCGCCTCGGCCTCCCAAAGTGCTAGGATTATAGGCATGAGCCACTGCACCTGGCCTTATTACTCTCGTTTCCTAGACATTATTCCACCCTTCCTAATACTTAGCTACCTACTTTTGCTTCCGTTTAACCCTCTGTAACTTGTTTTAAGGTGGTTTTTTTTTTTTTTAAATCCTTTGGCTATGTATGTTCTTATAAAGCAAAATTTAGTTGTGTCAATTCATGAAATCATATTAGCATTCACTTAGAGGAGAGTGAGAAATGTTTCCTGCTCATCTATATAGCATTGCCCATTTGCACTTAGTTTTGATATTTGAGGCAAATCCTTCGGTTTTATTGTCTAAACACACAGTTGTAATTCTAAGGAATTTTACACCAGGTCGAAGGAGGTAGCATTGCCCTTGCATACTATTATGTAGGGCATTGTAATATGACATCTGTCATATAGTGAGATGAGGATGGCTACCTCTTTCACTTAAAATAGCTCTGGCCCTTTATATAACCAAAGAAAATATAACTGAAATGCTTGGCAAGAAGTAAAGTTATGAACAATGGGCTTCCAGCATTTGCTGTATGCCTGCTGGCATAGGAATTCCAAGCATATAATGGGTGTTCTTTATATAATGAAAAGCCAATTGTGAGACCGGCTTATAATCTTTGGTGCCAGTAGGCAGCATGTACATTTCATAATTTCATCCTAATGTTTTAAGTGATACAAAAATGTCCTTTTTATCTACTAAAGTGCTTCACATGTTAATAAATACATGTAAATTTCTGTAAAGTGATATTGTCCCTTAATGAATCAAACTGATAATTGTTTCTATCTCATTAAAAGTAATCTATATTTGAAAGTGAAGAACTCTACAAATAAAAATATTTAACATATCAAACATTTGAAATTTCTAGGTATTGTAAGCACAAATATTTATGGTCATATTTGGCCAGAATGTTTTCCTTGTAAATAGACTTGGAATTTTTATATCCACTATTGTGATTGGCTGTAATAATTTTTCAAGTACTGTATACACAAAATTATAATTACATTTTATACTAACTATGGGTGGGGGCTGTCAAGTGTAGGTAAACACCAATTTGCCTCATCATCTCTTTTGTAAAACCTCCAACCACCAAACCTAATCGAGCAAGTTTATGCCTCCTCTACTGCATGTTAGCACTTTTTCCATGTTAATGTAATATTTGTACACAAACCTGTATCATCCAACAGAGCTTCTGAGAAGTAGAGACCTTTGCTTATTAGACTTTCAGTTCTTACTTCGTAGAATGGTGGTTGGCCATTCCATACATTTTATTTTATTTTATTTTATTATTATTTTTTTCTGAGATGAAGTCTCTCTCTGACCCCGAGGCTGAAGTGCAGTGGCGCGATCTTGGCTCACTGCAACCTCCGCCTCTGAAGTTCAAGCAATTCTCCCACCTCAGTCTCCCAAGTAGCTGGGACTACAGGCACTTGCCACCATGCCCGGCTAATTTTTGTGTTTTTAGTAGAGATGGGGTTTTGCCATGTTGGCCAGACTGGTCTTGAACTCCTGACTTCAGGTGATCCACCCACCTCAGCCTCCCAAAGTGTTGGGATTACAGGCATGAGCCACCGCGTCTGGCCATCAATGCATTTTAAATAAATGAACTAAATAATGAATATCATTTAAGTGCAATTCTGTTTACATTTGTTTACATCTATACTTATTTTAATCAAGTATATTCGGTGGTGTCAACAATCTGTAGCTTAACAATTTTAATTGAAAGACTCTAATTACATATCACTATATAATAGTTAAATAGTTTTCTTGGATGAAACAAAAGAGAGTGAGATAGAGAAAGAAGTAACAATTAAAGGATTTCATTATGTGATAGTCTTCCTGTGTTTTTTTTTCCTTTTAGAAAGTTGCCGCAATAATAGAAAATGTTTATTTCTTTTTCTTACTAGTAGAGGTGGCATTTTTGCTATAGAGTGAGTGCCCTTAGTTCTTCATTTATTAACAAATATTTCATTCTATGTATAAAAAGTATAATAAAATCATATAGACAATGTTACATGAAAAATGAACGGATTGTTATTACACCAGGAAATCACTACTGTGCCCTATCAAAATGAGTTTGAAGTATATATGTGCATATATATGTATATATGGGCATGAATCTAAGGCAATCAATTATGTCTATTTTCAATGCTCTGTGAAGAAAGAAATTGGTTGCCTACTGTCACATTTTATCTTAGTGATACTCTTTCATTAAAATGCACACACGAAAAAATTAAAAATGTAAAATCTGATTTTCTAAGTGGACTTAGGAAGGTACAGGGAACAAGTGCTAGTGCGTGAAGTGGAAAGTATGAGAGTACATGAAGTTGAAAATGTGTTTGTGTGTGTGTGTATTGTAGCAGGTCATCTAGGACTGCAATTTTCAACCATATGCCCAAGCCCCGGCATAGAGATAGTGATTCAGTTGGTCTGGGGTGGGGTATGGGCTTAGGTAATATTTTATGGCTCTCTAGGTGGTTCTGATGTGTAGTAGGGGCAAAGAACTGCCTCTATGGGTGTCTAGGACTGTACTGTAACTATCAGCAATTAGTGAGAGGGTTCTTTGTAATGCCTTTGATTATTCTTCTAGAGACATATGTTCTGTACATCAGCCGGGGAGCAAAACCAGGGAATTCCAGAAGTGGTTCTCCCTTAAGACTTACTCTGACGGTGTTAGTGTTTTCATAACTCGAGCCTTACCCTCATTCTAGGAAAAATTATAATTATTATCTATCTTACTTTCCACCCTCAGTACTTAACATTTTAAGGGATTTAGTGAATTTTTCCACTTCCCTTTTTATATTTGTTGCAGGTAAGTCCTGTTGAATATCATCCTCAAATACATGCATATTTTACTGCCATGGTAACATTTTCTACTTTTTCTTCTATTTTTTTCATATGTAAATTATCATTGAAAATTTGGCAGAGTCTCTGGTAACCAAAGTAATCTTGTCTGTTTCTGTGCTACTAGTTTTATTATAATTTGATTCCTGTTCCAAAAATGAAGTACAGTAATAATAATTTTTTAAAACTCAAATTATTTGTAGGTCAATATTAATGACTTTTTATTAATGTATATGTATATAGGTTTAACAATAAGTGAAGCAGCTTATAACAGTATATATTCTATTAAGTAGAAATTTACACATAAAGTTAGAAGAACTCCATGTGCAGTGTCCTCTTATGCTCATATATAACTTTCTGTTTCAAATAAGAGTTTCAAAACTAGAGTCTGTGTGGCACAGATGGTGAATTGATGCCATAATTTCCAATCTGCTTGTTAGTAGAGATATGTCATATGTTTATTGATGATTGCAAGTATGTTTGGTGCATTAAAGCTTCATATTTAGTATTATAAAAAACTTAATGTCATGTGGGGAAAGAAGTTGCTACCTTTCTAAAAATTGTAGAATAGCCAGGCTCAATGGCGCACGCCTGTTATCCCAGCACTTTGGGAGGCCGAGGCGGGTGGATCACCGGAGGCCAGGAGTTCAAGACCAGCCTGGCCAACGTGGTGAAACCCCATCTCTACTAAAAATACAAAAACCAGCCAGGCGTAGTGGCGCACGCCTGTGATCCCAGCTACTCGGGAGGCTGAGGCAGGAGAATTGCTTGAACTCGGGAGGTGGAGGTTGCAGTGAGCCAAGATCACACCACTGCACTCCAGCCTGGGCAACAGAACGAGACTCCATCTTTCAAAAATAAATAGATAAATAAATAAAAACAAAAATTGTAGAATAAACTCCTTGAATTCCAGGAAGAAACAAATATTGTTGTCCAGTTATGCAATTATGCATAATGAGAGTTAAATGCACAAAGTGATCTTAAATGTACATATTCAAAAATAGAGGTTGGATCAAGAATTCAGATTATTCAATATCAATTCAATTCCTTCTGTTGTGCCATTTGAATCCTATTGCCAAAGATGATTATTCATCTTGAAAAACAGACTCCCAAATTCAGAGTTCCTGCATTTTAATTTGCCCTTATGAAAGGAAGGATTCTTTCCTTTTCTGGAATACAATCAACTTCTGCTGAGAAGAAGGAAAGTCTTTATTCAATACTGAAAATGTGTATTTTCTTACCGTCTATTTATATGGACAATAATCAAACTTTTAATTATCTTCTCACAATACTTACAGATCTATGAGAAGAGTTGCTATCTAAAGCTGGATCTTTATGGAGAAGAGACATGCTCAAGTGTAGCGAATAATTTTTGTTACATATCAGTATTAACTAAGCTTTGCAAAGTGAATAGGGAAACTTATATTTAAAATGTCAGGGAAAAAAAGAGTTTTAAGTAAAAGGGACACCTGGAACTCTAAAGAGACTATAGCTCTAAACCTGTAGCTGAATTCTGCCTTAGATTTCGTTGACCCTTAACTAGGGGCAAATGCACACCCCATTCTCAGGGTTTCCCACACACCTCTGGAAGGAACACAGGAGCGTATTTACAGCTATCGTCTAACCATTATAGAATTCCTGGGGACAAAGTTGTGTCAGCCACCTTTGATTTGTAGTAAACAGGTACAAAACCGCATCATGGAATTATTTCTGCTTATATAATCCTCTTCTGCAGTGTCTGAATCTTGGCACCTCCTCTCCTTCCTCCTAACCACTGCAAAAACAACACCCAGATTAAGGCATCGGGGAGAACTGAATATCTGAATATCAAGTACTCCATATATATTGATCCATCGAATATGCCTACAATATCACTACTAACCTACAAGTGTACCAGGAGTTACACCTGCAGTATAACAGATTAAAACAGCCTTCTCCAAAGCTCATCACTTTGAATGTTAAAAGATTCATTTTCCACCACTTAAAATCTGCATACTATGATCTGTGTATAAAAAGCTAAAAGATATATCCAATTTCAAATGTAATGTCATGCAAGTGTCTACTGAATGTGTATATATCTTTGTAAGTGTCCCTGAGCAAAATAACTTTCAACTTAACATTCTTTTTCTCTTGGATATAAAAGAGAATAACGTAACAAGAGCAAATTTGCTTTTAAATTTCTGCCTTGATAGCAAGTTAAAGTATTTAGAACCAACATCCTCTTAAATGTATAATTTATATAACGGATGAGTCTAGAACAGCATTTCCAAATGGAAATTGTAAAGAACATTGATCCCGTAAGATGTTGAATGAAAAACAAATTGTTAAAATGTGATAATTTCATTTCCTTCTTTAGCGAGTCACAACTCAACCCTGAAATGTTTTGTAGTTAAAAAAATTGTTTAACTTAGTTTAACCCAATGTTTCTGAACCTACGTCACAAAGGAAATGTTTTTGTCAAGTGATACATAACTTTCAAAGAGATTGGATTTTTTTTTTTTTTTTTTTGAAATGAAGTTTCACTCTTATTGCCCAGGCTGGAATGCAGTGGCATGATCTTGGCTCACTGCAACCTCTGCCTCCCAGGTTCAAGCGATTCTCCTGCTTCAGCCTCCCGGTTAGCTGGGATTACAAGTGCATGCCACCACGCCCGGCTAATTTTTTTTGTATTTTTAGTAGAGAAAGGGGTTTCACTATGTTGGTCAGGCTGGTCTCGAACTCTAGACCTCAGGTGATCCACCTGCCTCTGCCTCCTAAAGTGCAGCGATTACAGGCGTGAGCCACCACGCCTGGTCGAGACTGGAATTTTTTGAAACACATTTTCATAAATGAATTACTGGGGTACTCTCTGTTTATTAACTATGTTAGTACTGACAAAGATTATTTGCTCGGCCAAAATTTATTCAGGCTTCCCAACCTTCTCATAGCCCAGTCTGTGCACATTCTCCTAAAATTTAGTTTTAGCAGGCCAGATCAGTTTAGCCAGAAAACACTCATCCTTGGTATTTGATTATCCTGGATATCTGATCATGTTCCTCATCATCCACCATCCTCCAGGGGATGACTGGACTATTTTCAGCAGGAGTCTCCCTTACCCATGATGCTTCCTCTTAATAATTTTCCATCCACTGACCCCTACCCTGTTCCTTGGTTATAAAATTCCCATTTGCCTGTGCTGTATTCAAATTGAGCTCAATCTCTCTCCCCTACTGCAAGACCCTATTTTCACGGTCCCTATACCTATTGAGATGGTCTTGAATAAAGCCTGCCTTACCGTGATTCAGCAAGTGACATTGAATAATTTTTTCTTTAACAGTATAAGGATCGCACATTACCATTTGTTTTGAAAGATGGTATAAAAAGACTAACTGAAAACTAATCTTGGCTGGGTATCACTGGCAGAAATTCTTGGTCTTCAATCTATGTAGAACAGATATTTGCATTTTCTTTTGAAAATTTAATACATTGATTAAATTGTCATTTTGTTATAAAAATATGAAATGAAGGGTACATATGATTTTTAAAAATTTCTGTCCACCATCACCAACCACTATGTGAAAATACACCTTTGTAAGACTTTTTCTATTCTATAACATACCTTCAAAACCAAGAAGAAGTATTTGTAGGAAATTCATTGCTTTTATTTGTGAATTGATAAAGGGAAAATAATAAGCTAGGGCTCGAGCTTCAGAACAGGGTGATGGTTTTATATCTCTCTCAAAAGTACTGCAAGGTAGGTTGTTTCAATACTATTAACAACCCCAGGGTTCCCTGACATCTTCTATTCCCAGCTTCCATTCTCAAAAATTATATCGAGGCCATGAGTTGGACTCCTCAGCCCTAGCAAAAGATTATTCATTTGCTCTGTAACCCTTCTTGAACCCCTTTTCCTGGTAGCTGTGCCCAATAAATCCGACTTATATATCTTTGGGAGTTGGAGAGAGAGAGAGAGAGAGAGAAAGAAAGTGAGACAGAGAGAGATAGAGGGAAATTATTTTAGCTAAGAAAATTTACAGTCACAATAATATGAGAGTCTCTGAATAAGGGATAAAAGAATATTAGACGAGACATAGTCTCTGCCAATGGTGATTAAGTAAACATAGTCAAGGAGAATATGGCTGTGACCATTAGTGTGTAAGTGGTTACATCTGGTGGGCAATCTCCAGTCATAAGTAAAATAATCTACGAGTGAGATACAGGCTAAGCAAAGATTTCATAATTAGGACCGAACAAGCACTAAGTACAAAGTCAAACACTGATAAATTGAGCTTCATTAAAACTAAGAATTCTATCTATTATAATACACTAATAACAGTGAAAAGAAAAGTCATGGACTGGGAGAAAAATATTCACAAGACGTATATCTGATTAGAAAACTTGTATCCATAATATATAATAAACTCATACATATCAATAAAAAGACAACCCATTTTTTAAAAGTTGGCAAAATATTTGAACAGGCACTTCATAAAAGAGGACAAAGATGGTAAAAAACATTTGAATAGGTGCCTAACTTCATTAGTAATCAAAGAATTTTGAATACCCCTATATATGCATCCGAATGGTTAAAATATAATAAGACAATATCAAGTATTGGGGAGAATTGGTGCCTCAGCTGGAGCTCTCAAATATTGCTGGTTTAAGTGTAAATTAATATTTGCCAATATCTACTAAATCTAAATTTATGCCTTCCTTATGAGCCAGCAATTCCTCTCATATGTATGTGTTCAAAAGAAATTAGTAGGCCAGGTGTAGTGGATCATGCCTGTAATCCCAGCACTTTGGGAGGCCAAAGTGGGAGGGTCACTTGAAGCCAGGAGTTTTAGACTATCCTGGGCAACATAGTTTGACCTCATCTCTACAAAAAAAAAAAATAAAATAATAATAATCAAAATTAGCCTGACATGGTGGCATGCACCTGTAGTCCCAGCTACTCCAGAGGCTGAGATGAGAGAATGGCTTGAGCCCAGGAAGTTGAGGCTGCAGGGAGCCGTGATTGCACCACTACACTCCTGCCTGGGACAGAGTCAGACCCTGTCTCAAAAAAGGGGAGAAATTAAGTCCACCAAAATAGCATGCACAAGGTAGTTAATAGCAACATTTTGCATAATAGCAGAACCTGATATAACTTGTGTCCCTCAGAATTAGAATTAAAAATGCGGTATAGACTGGGCGAGGTGGCTCACGCCTGTAATCCTAGCACTTTGGGAGGCCCAGGAGGGCGGATCACTTGAGATCAGGAGTCAGAGACCAGCCTGGTCAACATAGTGAAACCCTGTCTCTACTAAAAATACAAAAAATTAGCCGTGTGTGGTGGCAGGCGCCTGTAATCCCAGCTACTCAGGAGGCTAAGGCAGGAGAATCGCTTGAACCCAGGAGGCAGAGGTTGTAGTGAGCTGAGATCATGCCACTGCACTTCAGCCTGGGTGACAGAGCGAGACTTTGTCTCAAAAACAAAAACAAAAAACAAACAAAAAACAAAAATTGGGTATATCCGTGGAATATTATATAGTAATAAAAACCTGCTACTTGGAAGAATATGAACGAACTTCATAAACACAATGTTGACTAGAAGATGAACATTTACTGTGTGATTCCATCTATATGAAGTTTGAGAACTGGCCAAAGTTATCTATAATGATTCAGGTCAGCAGAGCAGTTTCTTCCTGAGAGGCTGGTGGGAATATAGTGTGAATTGGGAAAGAGCATGAAGGAGACTTACAGGGTGCTGCAATTGTTCAGAACTCTTTTTCCTTGATACTTGCTTACAGAAATGTGCAGAATTTTTATTTCACCTAGTTTTCTATGCATGCGTAGAATCTCCATAGAACACACATTTTATTAAGTACGCATTCAACTTCTTCTAAAATACCTCTAGTCATAGAAAATGTAACTTTATTTCTTTATTCCTTACTTTGCCTAGCCCAAGCTCCTACAAAAAAAAAGATTAGTTACCATTTAATTCAAATTATAAAACAGAACCAGTCTTTTAAACAGTATCGGATACACAAGTATCTAATCTAACTTCCATTGCCTATCAGTGGATGTGGCTTTAATCAAGTCTTTTCTAAACAAGATGGACAGGCACTGAAGAAAAAAAAAGTGAGCCATTTTATGTGTTTTAAAATGATAATGTGATTTTGAATTTTGCTATTGTAGAAGCTCCTAACAATATTATCTGGCATTTGTTCTATCTGAATAAAGCCATGGCTTATATTATGTATATATGGAATTTCCCAGAATACTATTGTTAGACACATCACTGAGCTGTGAAAAAAAAAATCATCTCTAATTTGATCAATATGTACTTACACGTATATCATTAGTTGCCATTGCTCTCAGCCTTTAGTACATTTTTTATGAGCCCCGTGGGCCATGAGCTTGCTTTTTCATAACAGAGAACGAGAAAGAAGAAATCTCATCAGTATAATAATACCCACATCAGTAGAGGGCATGGTTCAGAGGCAATCTTGTTGTCTGTCACAGACTCCATGATATAAGCTAGAAATGATAAAGAGATTCGTTACAGGATACTGTAAAAGGGATATTATGGTATATAAACTCATTAAGTGTTAACTAGATCAAAGCAAATATGGCAGAAAAGAGTCTCTGAATACTGTAGCAGAGTTTATTGAATGAATGAACGAACGAATGAATGAATGAATTTATAAAAAGCGCAGGGGGGCCGGGGCGCGGTGGCTCACACCTGTAATCCCAGCACTTTGGGAGGCTGAGGCAGACGGATCATCTGAGGTCAGGAGTTAGAGACCAGCCTGGCAAACATGGTAAAACCCCGTCTCTACTAAAAATACAAAAAATTAGCCGGGCATGGTGGCGCATGCCTGTAGTCCCAGCTACTTGGGAGGCTGAGGCAGGAGAATCGCTTGAACCCTGGAGACAGTGGTTGCAGTGAGCCGAGATCGTGCCACTACACTCCAGCCTGGGCAAAGAGAGCAAAACTCCGTCTCGAAAAGAAAAGAAAAAAGAAAAGAAAAAGAAAAAAAAAAGAGCGCAGGGGTCAGATAATTGAGTTAGAAGGTAGAGGAGTGGGGATGTTAATGCCCATGTGAGAAAAGAGGAAGAGGTATTGAAGGAATCCAGCGGACTTTGATGAGGACCATGCGGGACTTTCTATTTTCAGGAACCTAAGGGAACATCTTGCTGTAGGCAGCCTGGGGCTGTCTCCATCAAAGAAATGCTAATATTTACATTCATTGGTTTTTGTTATGTGACTGTCTATGTGCTAAAGCTGTGGTTCTCAAAGTATGTTTCAGACCCGCAATATCACCTGGAAATTTGTAAGAAATGTAAATTCTCGGGCTGTGCGGAGACCTACTAGATAATGAATTCTGGGAGAGGTATTATAAGAAGTTCTTCAGGGGATTTTGATATAGTCTCTAGGTTGAGAGACAGTGTAGTAGACAATACATTCATTACTTTATTTATTCTTCTCCATGATTCTATAAAAGAGCTATTGTTACTGCTTTGTTTACAAATGAGAAAACTGAGGCTTTGAAAGAGGCTCAGTATTTTGTTCAAGGTCATATAGCTGGTATCCAGAGATACTGGGAATAGAACCCAAATTTGTCAGACTATAAAACACGGTGCTTTCAGCCACTCCTCCAGAGCCAGGGGGATAAAAATTCATTAATTTCCATGAGTATTTGTAATAGTAGCCCGCAAGTCCTGGAATACAATTATAACTGCTACAGCATTACCTTTGAGGAGAAAATATCTCATTTCCCCAATTGATTGCCAAAATAAAATGCTTAAAATACAAATGTCTGGTTGAAGAAACCCTTTAATTTTTTTTCTTGCGTTCAGGCATTTGTGTCAGGTTTAACTAATTTATTTTAACTTGCAATACAGTGTTGCCTGTAGTAACAAATAGGACATTCTGCTATTAGTTTTTAATCTCCTACCGACTTGTTATTTTCCACTCCTGAAGCTAAACTTCTTTAACAATTTCTATGCTCATTGTATCTACTTCCTTACTCACGTAGCTACCTCAAACACCAATAATCCGGCTGCTTCCACATCCTTCAACTGAAATTGATTTTGTCACGGCCCAAGTCACATCAGGCCTCATCTTACCACTCTGTAGTATTGATTGTTGATCGGTCCTTCCTATTGGAAAAACTCTTCTTCCCTGGCTTCTAAGATATTCCACTATTCTAGTTTTCCTGTCTCAGGGCAACTTTATCATTTTCTTGGAGGGTTGCTCTCCTATCGTAAATCTCTTTTAACGTTGAGCTTCAATCTTAATGCTCAATCAACATATTTTTCTTGATCTCATCAAAATCCATAGCAATAACAACTCTTAACCATGACCCTCAGATTTTTATATCCAACCAAAATCATTCTTTTGAGCTAGAGACCTATCCCCCTGCCCATCAGTTATGCTCATGTATGTCACATAGTTAATTCAAAATCAGTATATATGAGATCAAAAACTGCCTTCTAAGCAATTCTTCCTCCTTCTCTAGCTCATTGAAAGACATCATGTGCCAAACTTCTCAGGTTTGGGGGTATCATTCTTGCATTCTCCCTCGAGATCACTGTTCTAACATTACCTTGGCATCAGCCATCATGTTTTGCCAGGATTGTTGCAGTTCCCCTAAAACAGATGTTCAATTTCCCCCACCCCTGTGATTCAGTTTTCCACATGCAGCCAGAATGTTTTAAAAAGCATATTCGATTGTGTCATCTTCCCCCTAGAAAACCTTCTGCGGTTTCTTCAAAATAAATTTAACTGAATAACTAGTTGACTTAATTCAATGTTTTCCTTCGTCACACTAATTAATCAGTATTTTCATGGTCCTCGATGCTGAGGGCTTAACATTCAAGAATAAATTTGTCTTATGTTTACTTTAACTTATAAACTTCCTTTAAATGAAAACTAATTGTTAAATGATTTGCAAAATAACCAGAGGCACAAAGTCTATTGTGATCAGTGGATATGACAGAATATATTTTTTGTTGTTATACCATCACTTTCACAAAACTATGGAATATATATATAGGCATATAGGTGTGTATGTATATATATGTATAGATATGTGTATAGAGACATAATTTATAGAAACATTCGTAATAAACCCCTGCCAAACATATTTTGCACGTTTGAAATATTAGTTGATTGGATTTGTGGTTTGTATGTAAGTTGAACAATTAACTGATGTGATCATTCTGTTTCCATGGCTGTTACCTTAGTTTATACCACCTTTTCACCTGAGTGATTACAATAGCCTCCTGATTCCTTGTCTCTTTATTTGCCACGTTCCCTTCTTCAAACTTCCCAAATCCACTTTCCCAATTGTTATCAAAAAGAGTTTTCCTAAAATGTAAGTCAGATAATGCTACTCATTATGCCAAATTCTCATTGCCCCAAAAGTGAAATCTGAATTCTATAAGATGCTCTACCAATCTCTCCATTAATTGGCCTCTGCACTATCTCTTTACATTCACCCCTTCCCACCCACCGAACCCACCCATCCCTCAAGAACGACATTGTACGTACTAATCATGTCATACAAGTCACTATTCTAGCTTCTGTTATTCTTCTGGAAATGTCATCTCCCACCTCAACTTTTTACCCAGCTAACTCCAGTTTATCATTTAGGTGATGTCTCCTTTTTGGAACATACCTAGAATTGACGTTACAGGAGGAATATCTCTTGTGTGTCATCTCAACATCCCACAGTAACTATTTTTTTTTCTTTTTGTTTTCTTTCTTTCTTTTCTTTTTTTGAGATGGAGTCTTGCTCTGTCACCCAGGCTGGAGTGCAGTGGTGTGATCTCGGCTCACTGCAACCTCCGCCTCCCGAGTTCAAGCGATTCTTCTGTCTCAGCCTCCCGAGTAGCTGGGACTACAGGTGCGTGCCACCATGCCCGGCTAATTTTTGTATTTTTTTAGTAGAGACGGAGTTTCACCATATTGGCCAGGCTGGTCTCGAACTCCTGACCTCGTGATCCGCCCGCCTCAGCCTCCCAAAGTTATGGGATTACAGGCATGAGCCACCGCGCCCGGCCCACAGTAACTATGTTTTAACATACATCAAACCACTTTGCAATTTCCTGTTTACATGTCATTATCCCTCATTAGTAAGCTTCTAAAAAGTATGGGCATTTATCCAGTTCCCTATCATCTCCCTAGTCCCCAGCACAATGCCTGACACTTAAGTAATTACGTGAGTAATTAAATGAGTAATTATGACACATTCAAGCTTGTTAAACTCTAAAACTTGGAAATAAGGCAAAAGAACAAGTAGATGTTCTTTTATTATCATACTAAAAAGTATTGTCTAAAAGATCTACCGACAGATAGTTTAATTTGTTAGGGACATGCGTCTTTGTATAACTTAGTACTAACTTAAAAGATAATTTTTTTGTGGGTACATAGTAGGTGCATATAATTTGGAAGCACATGAGATATTTTGATACAGACATACAATGCATAGTTATCACATCAGAATAAATGGGGCATCTATTACCTTAAGCATTTATCCTTTGTGTTACAAACAATCCAGTTATACTCTTAGTTATTTAAAAATGTACAAGTAAGTTATTATTGACTATAGTCACCCTATAGTATTTACTATTGATTAGGGCTTAGATTCTGAGAAATTTTACATAAATGTACACATTTTTGTTCAGTAGAGAGACAAGTAATATCTTTCTGGCACCCTCAAAATATATAATTTTATTGCACTTTTTGATGTTAATCTGTTTTGTTTCTAACTTAGCAATCTTGTTCTAGCTTCTTTTTCTTTCTGTGACTATGTGTGTTCAGTCCCTTGAATTCCCCTTTGAATCAGTTTTAATTTGTTGCCTGTTTTGTTATTAGTTAGTTGAATAAATGTTTCCATATTATCAGGATATGTTTATAAGGGAACAGCAAATTTACTTCCGTGTGTTTTAAACTATATGAGAAACACTGAGCTTGGCATCAATAGCTAATTCTAGGGGAGAAAAAAAGTCATTCTCGTATATATTTGGAAAAACAGTTTTTATTCCTTTTTGAGATATTAACAGCCATTTGTATGTTGAAGATTCTGAGAAACTTGGAGGTGATTTAATCTGTTTTGCTTTGTTTAATCTAAAATTTCAAGATTATTTTGGTTCTAGGAAATTTTGCTCTAGAAAAAACAGTTTGGAAACATTGGTTTACTTATAGCTTTAAAGAACAATATTTTAAACTACAATTCTTGTGTTCGAAATGCTGTAAAAATCATTTCTATTAAGATTTATTTCCTCTAAGTGTTTTGCATTCAAATAAGGTGAAATTCTGGGTCTCCAAATATACATTTCAGAAAAGTCTTTGTTTAGCTGTAGGGAAGGCATCCTGACTTCTCATCATTATAGTCACATAGATACACTAGATTTAAAGGATATTTAGGTCGGGCGCGGTGACTCACACTTGTAATCCCAGCACTTTGGGAGGCCGAGGCGGGCAGATCACCTGAGGTCAGGAGTTCGAGACTGGCCTGGCCAACATGGTAAAACCCCGTCTCTACTAAAAATACAAAAATTAGCTGGGCGTGGTGGCACTTGCCTGTAGTCCCAACTTCTTGGGAGGCTGAGGCAGGAGAGTTGCTTGAACCCAGGAAGCGGAGGTTGCAGTGAGTTGAGATCGTGCCACTGAACTTCCAGCCTGGGGAACAGAGCCGGTCTCCGTCTCAAAAAAAAAAAAAAAAAAATAGAGCGTAATTATATATTTTCCTTATTTTAAAAGGGAAAAAATACTTTCCTTATTTTCCATATAGAGTATATCAAAATAATTACAATCATTAAGTAAAACTAACATTTACCTGTGGTCTAAAAAAGTCGGTTGAGGCCAGGCGCAGGGGCTCACTCCTGTAATCCCAGCACTTCGGGAGTTAGAGGCCAGTGGATCACTTGAAGACAGGAGTTTGAGACCAGCCTAGCCAACGTGATGAAACCCCTTCTCTACTAAAAATACAACAATTAGCCAGGCGTGGTGGTGGGTGCCTCTAATCCCAGCTACTTAGGAGGCTGAGGCAGAAGAATCGCTTGGACCCAGGAGGAGGAGGTTGCAGTGAGCCGAGATTGAAACACTGCACTCCAGCCTGGGCGATAGAGGGAGATTCAGTCTCAAAAAAAAAAAAAAAAAGAAAAGTCAGTTGAGATAGTGAAGATCCAAAGATATCTGCTAAAAAAGTGTGTGTTATCTAGTTTTAAAAAGAAATGATATGCAAATAAAAACATTAGTGAGCAGTTAAATATTTAAAGGGTACGTTACTTACATTATGGGTGTAAAGTGTAAGTGGATTTCTGAAAACATGAGCACCATGTGAACTTCAGTATTTAAACAAGTTTATTGCTTTTGGCTTTTGGATTTATTGTTTTTTTGAAAATGGGTCTGAGAACGGCCTAGAAGAATGGGTAGACTTGACATCTAAGTCTATCTCAATTCTGCTCTTGAGAAAAGAGGAAGAAATTGCTCAGAATGTTCTATCATAATTTTCTTCTTGCTCTTTAGATTTCTAAATGGCTACACAGGTATTGAGAAACACATTTTTATCTTGTTATGAACACTAAAATTCATTAGCCTTATATTTCCTCTTTCCTTATAGCTGTGTCTTGTTTTTGATGGCTTAACACTTTTCCATTCTAATCAAGCTTTGTCATGGGCTATGGGCTGAAGTGCCTTGTGATGGACTGATTTACTTTCAGTCCCTGTAATCTGTGCCCTTGAAGGCTAGAGGTTGAAATCATTAAGGCTCTGCTGTTGCCCTTGATCTCTGCTCAAAGAGGCTAGAGATTGATTGGTTGACAGTGGTTGACCTGGACGTCTCAAAATGAAGCCGTGATGAAGGAAAATCAAGTACACACGTTCAGAATATTTCATAATGACATTTATTCTGCGTGCATTTTTTCCAGCGGTATTTTTGCTTCTTTTTTTAAAAAAAATCTAGTTTAATCATTTCTAGCCCACCCTCACCACTACCACATGTTTATTCCATTTCTACATTCTGGGGCACTTAAGACCTTTTAATTCCTTGAATTAGTCATTTATAAATGTTGTCTGAATATTCTATCAAAGCAAGGCAGCATAGAGAACTTATTATTACACACTTATCACATGAAAAAATTATTTATTAGCAAATATCTATTCAGAGCAAACATTTTGATCAAAGTTGGCCTCAATTCACTAATTAGTTATTATGCAAACATAACAAACATCCAATAGAATAAATATTCACTCTTTTCTACAGTTTTTTTTGGAATGGTTTCAGTGCTGGAAAAAAAAACTAAACCAATTCATGTAAGAAAAAGTAAATGTCTGTTAAGAGAAAAGACCACTTTTAAATACACGTTTTAATATTTCTATTTTAATTTCTACTTAAAAAGGTTAAGGAGGAATATTCTAAAGACGAATATATTTGCAAATACTGTGGGAACACTTTATTGAACCAATTTGAGAACTAAGTCAATTATATTGAATTTACATATTTGGTTAAAGAAAAAATGAGAAGTGATTAGATTAGTTCAATATTTAAGTGAACTTAACAGAAGTATCCAAGTTCATGTTGACCCTATTGCTTCGTATTAATATTGATAATTACAAATATACATATATATTAATTTTCAAAAATATAGATTATGAGTGGGTAATAATAGCTTCTAAAAATTCACTTTGGTACTATTCCATAGTGGCCAAGTTTCCTTTTGTTCTCTGGAGGGAGGTGGCCTAATTTAGGCAAGTTTAGTATTTAGAGCAAAAAAAAAGGCAGTCTATGCAGAGATTCAATGGCATCTTAAACCTGCCCCACCTATCTCTCATTTTTTACATTGCTTTTTCATTATCTTTTCCTTTCCTTTCGAGAGACTTGAATTTAATATTGTCTCTCTTTTCCCCATGTTTGCCTTTTATAAATCTAAGCATTTCTGCCATTAATACTGTAGGTTAAGAAAGTGGCAGCCACCATATTTAAGGAATAGTAAAATCTGTAACTGGGGAAATATACAGTCTTCTGAGAAACTGAAATAAATTTCAGGTAAAAAGTATGTGACGTCAATTGAGTGGTGCACGTCGAGGGATACAAACCTAAATACATTCCAGGATGAAAATCGTGATAAGTTTGGAGCTCCATTTTCAGGGAAGTTTCTGTACTGACTTTAGAAACATTGCAACCAAACAAATCCTTGGGAACTGTAGAAAGGACTCTTTTTAGTGTTCAGGCTAAGTAGACAATGCCTACATATTTAAAGTTTCATTTGGCAGACTTGACACAGTAGGCTTCATGGAACACAAGTTATGCCTTCCTTGGTCTGAGAGAGAGAAGACTAGTTCTGCTCAACTGAAGTTAAGATCTGAGGTTCAGTGAGTCCATATAGATATCATGGAAGATTGAGTGAATACACTGGCCCTAAAGCAACAGAAAGAGCACAAGTTGAGATACAGTTTTAATCCCCAATGATTGGAATCACCACTGCCAGATATCACATCCTAATTACACATTCTGCCCTTCAAGCTCTGGCAATACTTTTCTTGCGGTGCCCCCTTTCTTTAGTTTGCCATATGAAGAGTGTGGTAATTACTTTCCCTGCAGTTGTTTACCAGTTCTCATTCATTTTTCAAGTTTTCCTTTCTCTCTCTCTCCTTTTTTTTTTTTTTTTTTTTTTTTAGATGGGGAGTCTCGCTCTGTCAGCCAGGCTGGAGTGCAGTAGCATGATCTCGGCTCACTGCAACCTCCACCTCCCGGGTTCAAGCGATTCTCCTGCCCTCAGCCTCCCGAATAGCTAGGACTACAGGTGCATGCCACCATGCCCAGCTAATTTTTCTTGTATTTTTAGTAGAGACGGGATTTCACCATGTTGGGCACGCTGGTCTTGAACTCCTGACCTCAGGTGATCCACCCGCCTCGGCCTCCCAAAGTGCTGGGATTACAAGTGTGAGCCACCGCTCCCAGTCGAATTTTTCTTTCTCTAAACAATTTTCAGTGTAAAGGTCTGCTGTGCTATAAATTTGTGACACATGATTGTGTTGTAGTTACGACTACGTAAGGCTCTATGGACAGGTTTCCTTTAGTTCTGCCAGCACAGCTAACCAGCTAATATAAATATAAAGAAATGCAACTGTTGACACCAAATGCAGTTTCCGTTTGCCTGAACAATCAACAAATAAACACAAAATCTGAATAAACATTACAATGTGAATCTATGTGTCTGTATCCATAATTATATAAAATTGAATTATTCTAAAGAATTCTATGTTTCTTAACAAAAATATTATATGCATATATACAGTTAGGTTTAATAGATTTGTATAAGCATTTCTAATTCTTAGCTTCCATTGATCTTCAGTGTTTCAGAATATTTATTTCAAATCACTTTTGGAAGAAAGTAAGTTTACAAATTGTGAAAATAATACACAAATCAGAGATCCCTATTTAAAACTAATCCCTACATCGCTTCATCAAAATGCCTAAAATTCTTTTTTGGAATGAAATTCACAGAGAATTGCAAGATTCATTTCCTTTACACTTTTATTCACTGCCAATAACTTGGGGATACTAAGAGTGCAGGAGAAGCAGGTAATTCTGAGGGCGTTTTGGAGGAAAGCAGTTTTGCATTGGCTAAGTTTTTAAAAAAGATTAAACATTTAAGTGCCTTGTTTTAAAGATTTGAATGATAATGATTTCAGGTAATTGATTTTTAAGCTATATGGTAATAATAAGACAAAAATAATTCATTTGTTTCCTTTTGGAAAATAGATTTTTTAAAAGATAAAGATCTGTTTTAATTTTTGTTTTTATTTCTAAGGTACTGTCCAACCTAAAAATATGAAAGTAGGTGTGCATAAGCTTTTTTAAAAAAAAATCGCCAGTAGTACAAACAAATTTTATAGTCCATCATTTGCAGGGCTGGAGGGCTTGCCATATTTAAATGTGTGACCTGTTTTGAGTATTTGGGTCAAAGAGAAGGGAGGCACCAGTGTTTAAAGTGGCACAAACAGAGGGAAGAATGAAAATACAATCGAATATATTCATTTTTATTTTCATAAATAAAAGAAAGTTTAAAAAATCTAGGTACATCAGTAATGTTCCCTTAGATAGTATTATTATGTGGCTATTGTTTACTCTCCTTTGTCAGCAACACGATCAGTGATTTTCAGCACCTGCTATTGGGTTAATAATGGAGTTAGAGAAGCATGAGTTTCAATTTGTGCTCATCTACTGCAAAGTAGCTATATGAACTTGGGCAGTTACTTAACCTCGCTAAGCTTTGTTTCCTATCCATACAATAGGGTCAAGAGAAGTACCTCTCTTACAAGGTCTGTGAAAATGAAGTATGTTCATGTGTTTAAAGTGTTTAGTAGGTGGCACATAGTAAGCACTCAAATTATATGGACTATGGCCATTACCTTGACAAACTATATTCTCTCTCCATTTCCTCATATGTAATGTGGATTAACACGAAGATTAAACTTAAAAAGTGCATAAAAATCTCAGTGTCTAGCAATTTGTAGATGTTCAACATTATTAAAATTCCCTCCTCAATTTTGCTTACTTTGCTGTACTGAATGCTATGTGAGATAGGAAAGGATATCAATTATTTGCTATGCCCCTTCCGGGCACTAAATAAATACATGTTTTTGTTCATTCTTTTACTCAATCTAAAAGTTATTGAGCACCAAATAGGCATCAGGAAGTATATGGACAAGTATAGGAAACAGGATTGATATTTACAATCAGGAGAACAATTTTGAGCCCCCAGTCAGTCACTTGATGTTATCCTGGGCAATCAATGGATAGAGTCCAACCACTCTAAGCCTCAGTTTTCTTATTTCTACATGTTGATAGTATTAATAGTTGTTATAAGATTTGAAACCTGTTATGGACTATAGTATTTTGTGCAGACATTAGTCAAAATCATAAATTATTTTGGGGAGCACATTTACATTCCTCACAGTGAAGCCTTGGGCCCTACACCTTTGCACTAAATTATACATCTGTAGCAGGAAAAAAAAATTTCAGTATCACACAAATTTAAGTGGGCTAAAAATGGTATTTTATTAATTTTTCTATAGCTAAATTAAATTTCTATTTTGGTTCCTCTTTTAATTTAACAGGTTTCTTAATATACCATTCTCAGGAAATCTTAATAAAATTCAGTGACTTTTCAGGTCTACCGGTCACATTCAGGAGTTGTTAGGACTCTAGCCTCCACTCTAGGATTGGAATAACACAGGAGTATTACTTAGCTTCATGGCATCAGGGCCAACTTCTGATTCTAGGTCAAGGACACACAGAGATGTGACATCCAATGTGGTCTGTGGGGAAGAAGATCTTTGCATGCAGGCATTGGCTGAAGTGAACCAGTACCTGCATCCCGCCCTTAGTTGAACTGCCTATTCTGCCTCCAGGATTTGGGGTGTCTGTGTCCTGATTACCACACCCTTGAAAGACTGCCAGCTTGCTCCTCCTAACTTCCATGACCTTCTCAAGCACCGACACATGTTAGCTGCTTATCACAAACCTGATGAGATGCTCAGACCCCTGTGAGGCTAATCTACATGCCCAGTCCCTTTGCTCTGGTTGGGCACTATTTTTCAGCAGCTCCAGAACCTCCTTCTCTTCTTTAGGACTTTGGTTCCCTAAGAGGACATTATAATGTTCCTCTTATTTGAAAAGGTGTGTGTGTGTGTGTCAGAGGGTCAGGACCCTCCCCACACCCCCACACGGCTTCTAGCTCTCACTTATCTGTAACTCTCTCAACTTCCCCCTCTTCTTCTCTTGGTAGGCACCTAGAGCAGGTAAAAACTTTTAAACAGGATTCTTCTATATCTGTTTATGCCAGAATCATGGTTCACTTACACTAAAAGCAGTTGACCTCTGTCAGTGAAATCAAGAGTTGATTTTGTAATTCAAGAGCTCTGTATTTATAAACAACCCTAAGGCAGTGAGGAAACAGTGCCTAACTTACCTTACTTGCAAAGGATGGAACTTAAGAATGTGGTTACAATCTCACGAAATACTTGTGTGTGTGTGTGTGTGTGTGTGTACGCACCTGTGTGTGTGTAGTTCTGAAGATGGCATTGTTAGGTGGTGGAGGCCTATAATATTATGATTCTCAACATGTGAATTGTTATCACAGGCAACTAATCCTATTGCCTCAGGTTTACAATCTGTAAATGGGAAATAAAATGCCTAATGTTTGTTCTCAGCCTAGTTGTGAGGATTAAATGCAAAATACAGCCTCAACAAATGTGAGTTCCCTTCCTCACATTCCCTTGTAAAAAAAGGACTTTCCCCACCCCCCTTTTATTTAGCATATCAACAATTACTCCTTTATTTGGGACTGAACAGCCTTTTACTAACTATCCTTTTGTTTCTCATTTTTTATATTCATGCATAGTACAACTTATGAAATATTTTACCCCAAATCCTCTTGGGTCTGCTTTATATGCATAACCAAATAAGGCATATTTTTATACAACTATTGTGTTTTATCTTAAGGTAAATTTCAAGCTAAAGTGAAAAATGAATTCCTTCTGGTATTCAGGCAGAATTTTCCTTACGAGAAGTAGGTCAAGAAACATTGAACGCAGAATAAATTTATCTCTGAATACGGCTCTTCAGCTCTGGATTGTTTAAGGATGGCCTAGAATCTACGCTGAGCATTCTCTTGCATCTCCTTTTTCAGTATGGTTCTGAATTAGCACTCGGGCATAAAGCATTTCCTTGGAATTGCTCTTATTTTTGTCCCCATATTCTGCACTCCATCGTCAGGTAAGAAGGCAATATGTAGCAGTCATTTAAGAAACCAGCACATAAATTATTTCCGAAGTTAAATCAATGTGCATCTTACTGGTTCAGTTCACAGTTAACTAGAACTGCTGGGGCTTGCTTTTATGAATTGTCCCATTCCCTCCTTGCTTTCTTTTTGAGACTGACTCTTGCTCTGTCACCCAGGCTGGAGTACAGTGGTGCGATCTCAGCTCACTGCAACCTCCTCCTCCCGGGTTCAAGTGATTCTCCTGCCTAAGCCTCCCTAGTAGCTGGGATTACAGGCATGCACCACCACGCCCGGCTAATTTTTGTATTTTTAGTAGAGACGGGGTTTCACCACGTTGGCCAGGCTGGTCTTGAACTCCTGACCTCAAGTGATCCACCTGCCTCGGCTTCCCAAAGTACTGGGATTACAGGCATGAGCCACTGCGCCTGGGCTCTCTCTTTTAAACAATCATAAATATGAAATTAAATGGGCTGACTGGAAGCAAATTGGTCTGTAGGAACGCCCATGAAAGTGTTCCATTCTGATTGTTTTCCCATCCTGCAGCCCCTCTGGCCTAGTGGAAGCTCCTTTCGTTTTGCAGATTTAGATTAACTGGGGTAGGTGAGAGAGGGCAGGGATGGCAGGCCATTTGTCTCTCATCACCGACTGAAAAGTTGAGCCTAATATATACCTTTTGCTCCTCTACCCAAATGAATTACAAAATTCTAATTCCCTCACACACCGGGGCCTGTTGTGGGGTGGGGGGAGGGGGGAGGGATAGCATTAGGAGATATACCTAATGTTAAATGACGAGTTAATGGGTGCAGCACACCAACATGGCACATGTATACATATGTAATAAACCTGCACGTTGTGCACATGTACCCTAAAACCTAAAGTATAATAATAAAAAAAAGAGTTGATTGTTTTTATAATCTAAAAGTAAAGACAGTTTGGTTTTGTCAAAACTTCTTTGTTTTCTATTTATTTTCTCTATAGCTTCTAAATTTGTGTTCTGCTTGTGCATGCGTGTATGCTTGCATGCATATGTGTGTGTGTTTTCCTTAAAGAGTAGGCAAAAAAGGGCAGAAAATAGATCATTCCCTTATAAACCTGACAAGTACCTGTTTGTTTCTTTCACTGTGGTAACTGGAAGGCTGGAAATACTGAGCACTTCAGTAGTCATTCTAAAAAGATTGGTTCATGTTTAATTTGTTTGACTGCCCAAACCTCTAATGGTTCAGTGAAACCTTCGTGAGGATTTTAAGAAATAGATCAGGTGATAGTTTCAGTTGAAGCTACTAAAAAAAGCCTTTTTGTTCATATTATTTTATTAGAGTGGGAAATTGGGAATTCTAAAATGTTCCCACATTTGTCACCCGTGTTACTCTGGCAGCCTTTTGTCATGTTCACATTTTCCCTGTTCGTTTGTTACTGCTGCTGAATGTACTTTAATGATTCTAATAGGAGCTATAGATTGTGCAGAAGAATAACAAGCTTCAAATTAAAAAAGAATATATTTGCATTTTGTGGCTTCTAAATATTAATACAATTGAATTGTTTTTGTTGACCACTGTACATTGACTTCCCAGGGTCCGGTGCATAGCAAATTCATAGATGCTCCATAAAATAATTATAGAACCATGCATTCGTGTGTGCTGTGTTGTGGTTCTGGGTACTAAGGATGTCTGCCTGAGTCCTGAATGAGTCTTAATCTCCATCCAAGTTGTGTGTTTCAGAGTTGGGATGGTGCAAGGAATTTGATTATTAATGTAAACTTTAGATAACTCATAGCATGAATAACAACTGTACAGTAGAAGAAAAATGCAGAAAGAATAAAAAACACAAACAACAGCTAAAACAACAACACATAAAAAACCTCAAATAATTAGAGCAACAGGCTGTGAATGCATTTAGCAAACATATACCCTTCACTTACTTTTGGGAATCCAGTAACTTTCTCCTCTGAGTTCAATGAAAAATCAGTAGCACTTACGGGTGTGATCATTAACTTTGTTTACTTTTTTAGCTTTCAATGACATTCACGTTTGTGTTGAGATTTGTTTTTTCTTTCCTGAACATTTTATCCCATTCGCCAATCCAGAAATGATAGAATAGGAAAAGAACAACTAGGGCTTTATGCAAGTACAGTAAAATCTATTGATGCCCCTCTACAAAAGGCTGCAAATTGGAATGGCTGAAATCATCTGCTCGTCTTTTGTGTTGCATTTTAGGACTATCAATGAAACTTGAAATGATATATTAATAGAAAGTTTGAACAGGAATTATATATTGAAAATGTGACAGAATG
The DNA here is from genome assembly GCF_000001405.40 of Homo sapiens. Taxonomy (NCBI): domain Eukaryota; kingdom Metazoa; phylum Chordata; class Mammalia; order Primates; family Hominidae; genus Homo; species Homo sapiens. The sequence continues at coordinate 33,042,290 of NC_000023.11, read as the reverse complement.
GGTAGATCCAATCATCCTAGGCTGTTGAGAAGGGAATATGCCTCACAGTCTTGTACTTTTTAGATGAAGCCTTCCAATTTACCTGGCAGCCCACCTCATGGCTCAGTGTTTAGTCATATAGCAGAGGTTGTTACAATTACAAAAGTTCTCTTTTTTTTCCATGGAAAATTGATCATTTGGAGCAGTAGATTAATTTATTTCAATTTTAAAGTATGAGAGGCATAGAGGTACATTAAAAAGAACAAAGACTTTGTAGTCAGAGACATCTAAGAGTTGTGTAAACCTGAGCACATAAGTAGCATTTTCTTATCTATATGATGGGATGGGGTTGGGGTAAGAATATATATCATATAGGCAGTTACAAATATAAACCACACATCACGTATGGATTTTTTTTTTAGATGAACTCATTTATTTGACATATTAAATTAGACAAAGAAATATATATGTAACCAGATAAAAACAATCACATTCTCATACTACTTGAACACACCGCAGTGGTCAAAAATAATGGATTGTAAAATGGACCCCAGGATTTAATGCAAAAACCACCCCATACGAGAAAAGTTTCAGGCTTCTAACTTCACTGAATCCAGTACTAAACGTGCTTCTTTATATTCCTCAGCTTCTTCCAAGTCTTTTTCACTTTCTAATATCTGTTGAAGATCCAAATATGCGGCTTCCAACCTGCGCTGGCAATCTGGGATCATCATCCGGGATTCTTGTAGGATCTCTGCCTGCTTTTTGATGTCATAATTTTCACCATCTTCAGCTCTCATTTTTTCAATCTTTTCTTCTTGTTGTTTTGCCTCTTTTTCATACATCACTTTTTATTTGACCAACCGCTTCACCACACCGGTCTTGATCTTGATCTGTCTCACGCGAGGATCGGCCATGGTCCCTCGAGCCCCGCGAGAAGGAGGGGCGGAAAGCCGGGGTAACCGTGGAGGGCGACGCGCAGAGGCGGTAGCTATTTAGGCTTGGTCGCCGGCGCGCATGCGCAGGCTGCGCGGCCACTTAAGGAGTTTTTATAATAAATCATTATAGTGTCATACCTTCCATCAAAGGATTGAGTACTCAGGTGTGAACATTGGTAAACAATTTTTCCAATATTAACATCTGTAGTATTTTAAATTATGTGTCATTTTAAGGTACTGTTATTCTCTTTGTAATTTAACATTTTTTATAATAGAAATAATTTTGCAATTGCTACATTAACATTTTGAGTTGATTATTGCTTATTGTTAGCAATTCCATTGCATCATTTTACAGATTCCATCACTGTGCTGAAACATCCCATCTGTTTGTGAAAGTTTTGGATGTTTTCTTTAGTATCTAGATGAATCTATTCCTTATCTTATCAGTCAGAGATATTTTAAAGTCCTTGTCTGTTAGTTCAAGCATATAGGTTATCTCTTAGTCTGGTTATGTTGATGGCTTTACTTCTTGATAATGGGTGTATTTTGCTTAGTTTTATTTATTTTTTGCAAGTCTCATTTTCTTTTTAGTGAATGTTAGATGTCATGTATAGAAGAAAAATAGAGAATGAGGTAAATATGTTTAATCTTGGAAATAGGTATAGCTTTTTTTCTGTCATACTGCTAGTATGGGGTTTGAGTCAGTGGTGTTAGTATTGAGCTGGTTTGGAGGGGCGGGGGTTGTTGTTGCTGTAGCAACCTTCAGAACACTACAGTCTTCAAAGACCTCCACTGATGGGCTGCTGCTATCCCGTGCTTAATGTAATAGTGTCTGCGGTCCTAAAGGGATTTCTATCTTCTTGTTCCATCCTCAGTTTTCAGCAAGCCTTATATGCCTGTCTCTCCCCTAGTGGTAACAGATCATTCTGTTTTTATTGGTGCAGAATCCTGGGCCAAAGAGGTTATCATACTGCTCTTCCAAAGAGGGTATCTTGACCCTCTCTCAGTGGCTTCTACCTTCCCCAACCCCTCTGAACAGGCGGGTCCCATGGGTGGTAGAGTTTAGTATCTTTCCTTCAGTTTAGTATCTTTCCTTAAATCTTACGCCTTTTAGAAGAGGAGGGTCTGGAAAATGGGTTTGACTTCATGTTTGTGTGTCACTGAGGGGAGCTTCTTCCTATCTCTTGTCCTACGCCTTACTTTTTTGCAAGTTCCCAATAGAAGTTTGTGGAAAAGAATTCCAGAATGAGTGCAGACTCCTTCGGTCTGCATTTCCAAGGATGCTGAAATGTCATACCAGCCCACACCTGACTTTTAAGAATGCCTTACAATTGGAGCTATTTTCTTTTTCCTGCTCCTACGATGACTACTTCTTCCTCCAGTTCCCTGCCAAAGGTAAACCTTTCATGTATCCAGTCTCTCCTTGGAGGAGATTGAAGTACTTTGGCTCACCTCGTTGCCTTGTGGCCACAGCTATATAAATGGCTCAAAAAATAATACGTTTTTATAGATCACCCTGCTTTTTCTCATTGGGTGGAGCAACGTTCTTATATAGCATTTTTACATCCTAAGCAGAAGAGGAACTTGATTATGATGGAAAGCGTAAGTATTTTACCCTCTTGGGATATCCACATTCGACATGTTAATCATTACAGTTACCCTTACTTTAGATGGAAACAATGAATAATACTTATTTTTATTAGAGAAAGGCCGTAGTAGATAAGTGATATTTTAAAAATTGAATT